>NC_000007.14:152488682-152640197 GCF_000001405.40 Homo sapiens | reverse complement strand
AATAAATATTGGAATGTTTCAACAAAATACAGAAAATAAACAATTTTTAAAAATTTTTTTAATTGGAATGAGGGAAACTCTGAGCCGATGAGCCTATTCTGGTTCTGGAAACCACCCTATTTTAAAAAGAGGGGGAATTGCTATTGTCTTCCCTCCTTTTTTCTTTTTTTTTGTCTTTATGGGTTTATGCTTTTTTCCCCTTTCCTGTGATTTTAGTAGGTTTCAGGAGGAATTACTGGTTAACAAGCATGTTCAACTGCAGTGTTTATCCAGAAGTTTTATCATTTAAGCTGACTGCATTTTCTATTCCTTGTAGTTAAAATCATCTTGATTTGACGGAATTGCAATGGTATTGACCCACAGAAATATTTTATGATTTTTAATGAGTACATCGTATTTCCTCTTATGGAATAAATATGTAATTATTTAATCACTCTTGAAATATTTGAGTGGCTTTCAATTTGTTTGTTTTTTGAAAATAGAATTATAGAAGTAAAAAAATTTAAAAAGTTTACAAGAATTATACAATTTTTCTGCAATTTTTTAATGTTATCGAACATCCCAAACTGGGCACAGTGGCTCACGCCTGTAATCCTAGCACTTTGGGAGGCCAAGGCAGGAGGATGCTTGAGTCCAGGAGTTCAAGACCAGCCTGAGCAATATAGTGAGACCCCCATCTCTACAAAAAAATTATTTATTTATTTATTTATTTATTTATTTATTTATTTTTGAAATAGAGTCTCGCTCTGTCACCCAGGCTGGAGTGCAGTGGCCCGATCTCAGCTCACTGCAACCTCTGCCTCCCAGGTTCAAGAGATTCTCCTGCCTTAGCCTCCTGAGTAGCTGGGACTACAGGCACAAGCCGCCACGCCCAGCTAATTTCTGTATTTTTAGTAGAGGTGGGGTTTCACTATGTTGGCCAGGCTGGTCTCCAACTCCTGACCTCCGGTGATCCACCCACCTTGGCCTCCCAAAGTGCTGGAATCACAGGCATGAGCCACTGCGCCTGGCCTCTACAAAAATTTAAAAATTACCCAGGTATGGTGGTGCATGCCTGTGGTCCCAGCTACTCGGGAGGCTCAGAGGGGAGGATCGCTTGAGCCTGGGAAGTCAAGACTGCAGGGAGTCATGATCAGGCTGCTGCACTCAAGCCTGGGTAACAGAGTGAGATCTTGTCTGATTAAAAAAAAAAAAAAAAAAATCAGCTGGGCGCAGTGGCTCACGCCTGTAATCCCAGCACTTTGGGAGGCCAAGGCAGGCGGATCACTTGAGGTCAGGAGTTCGAGACCAGCCTGGCTGACATGGTGAAACCCTGACTCTACTGACAATACAAAAATTAGCTGGGGATGGTGGTACATGCCTGTAATTCCAGATACTTGGGAGATTGAGGCACAAGAATCACTTGAACCCAGGGAGGCCGCAATGAGCTGAGATGGCACCACTGCACTCCAGCTTGGGTGACAGAGTGAGACTCTGTCTCAAAAAAAAAAAAATTTGCAAGAATATTTATATCAACTTATGCTCCTACCCTCAGAGGAGGAGAGTATCAGTATTTTCACACTCATAACAGCAGGCAGTACTTATATTGTCTTCAAGCTTTATTTTCTGATTATATTCATTTGAAAAAAATTTGGAAAAATAAAATAAAAAGCCGTGATCTCACCATCCAAAGATCTCCACCATTATCATTTGGAGTGTATCATTCCAGATGAGTCTCTATACATTGTTCTTTTTTTTTTTTTTAGAGATAGGGTCTCAGTCTGTCACCCAGGCTGGAGTGCAATGGCGCAATCTTGGCTCAAGTGTTCCTCCCACCTCAGCTTCCCGAGCAGCCGTGACTGCAGGCACACACTACCACACCTGGCTAATTTTTTAAATTTTTTTGTAGAGAGAGAGTCTCGCTTTTTGCCCAGGCTGGTCTCAAAATCCTGACCTCAAGTCATCTTCCCACCTCGGCCTCCCAAAGTGCTGGATTACAGGTGTGAGCCACTGCATGTGGCCCACATTGTCCTTGAGGGAGTGTTTTGGCTTTTTGTTGTTTTTTCTTTGCTGGACATACTGTTCTTTATTTGCTTTGTTCACTTAACAATGGGTTTTGGACATCTTTCCATATCAATATATCGATCCAATCATTTTCAAAGCTCTGTACATCATACTTTGCTTAACCCACTCCTGTTGATGGGCATTTCAATTGTTTATATTTTTTCCTAAATCCTTACAGACACAGCTTGGCAGTTACCCAATTATTTCCTTTAGATAAATAAAGAGATATACTTCTTGGTTAAAGGATGTTTACTTTTTTGAGTTTTCAACACGTTAATACGTACCACTAAAGGTAGAAAAAAGTGAGGCCAATGATAAACAGGTCTCGGGCAGAATCATTTGATCTGCAAAACTCAATTCTTGGACTTTTGATTTATATGAGGTAATGAATTTACATTTTGCCTATTCTGGCAAAATCTGACATTTGTAATTTCAAATTCTTTCTAAAGTGAGACAGTCGCTTGACTATACCTATATTAGTATTTCAGTAACATAAGGCTCAGATTTCAGCTGTGATGGGAACTGCAAAATGGTATGATTCATGTGAGTGCTAACAAATCATTCAAAATTTAGGAAGTTTGCATCTGTTTTATATAGATATATCTAAATTATGAATATGGGTTAATATTTGGAGTATTCTTAGCCTAATGTATTATATTATATTGCATCTGAAGGCTTGAATTGACACGAATTAACCTATACATCTTTAAATATTTGCAAAATTATATTTTATATGAGCCAGTAATAAATGACCATATTACAATTCAGAAGCTGAGAAGTGTAGTGAGGGTTGCCATGGGAACCTTAATGTGATATTCCCTTGCTTTCATTTAAATTTCATTTTTAATATTGCATTAACATTTTTGCATTTAATGGATAGATATTTGAATTAATATTGAAGTGCTCTTTCTAATATAAATAAAATATAAGAAATGAAAATGTGATTTTTCTTCCAATGAACAAATGAACATATAATCCAAGATCTTGTAGAAATAACAGCACTTGAGTTTTAAATTATTGGATTCCATTCATTTATTTTGAAGTTTCTTAAAGGATCTTTTTTAAAGATTCAGAAATATTTATGGATAGTCATATAATTCATGCCTTTAACATTTCAAATATGATTCAGAATTTCCTGAAAGCTTTTTGGGGATAATTTACTGTGCCGAAGTTGATTCTTCTGTATTTCTGACTGACTGACCTCTCACGTCATTTCTACCTCTCCAAGCTCACATTGGGGTAATGATGATTTATAGGGTGATACGCTTAATCTTACTTAAAACAAAATACAGATTACCAAATACCGGTTTGTCTATTTAAATCTTCTATATAAAAATCTAACTTATGCCAGAGATAAATTATAGGGTATTACTTATGGATTCTTGGCTATAAAAAGTATTCATACATAAGGGTATATGTGAATAGTGCACTGAAAATCAAAATAAATGGCTACAATGTATGGACAACAGAACCTGTGACTGCAAGCAGCTGTTGGGTGTCGGGAGCCTTGAGGGCTTGCTGATGTGGCGTAACCCACCGGACGTGTGACTGTGTGTGAGCTGCTTAATCTCATGGATAAAACAAAGAGTCTGAATTAGGATCACTAGCTTCTTTTCTACTAACGTAGTCGCTAAAAGAAATTTGGAAAATTATGTATCCCCTTACATGTTTTGACTTAACATTCAAACTTTCATTTATAAGTATTTAATTTATGGCATATTCACATTTTAAAATAAAACATTTATTTAAAATATCCACTAAAATCTACATATCACAGCAGTTTGCTACCCACCATACATTTTTTTGTTTTGTTTTGTTTTTTGAGATGGAGTCTCACTCTGTCGCCCAGGCTGGAGTGCAGTGGGGTGATCTCGGCTCACTGCAACCTCTACCTCCCAGGATCAAGTGATTCTCCTGCCTCAGCCTCCCAAGTAGCTGGAACTACAGGCATGCATCACCACGTCCAGCTAATTTTTGTGTTTTTTGGTAGAGATGGGGTTTCACCATGTTGCCCAGGCTGGTCTCAAACTCCTGACCTCAGCTGATCTGCCCACCTTGGCCTCCCAAAGTGCTGGGATTACAGGCATGAGCTACCGCACCCGGCCACACCATACATTTTCTAAAATACAAAAATAAAGCTCCATGATTCTACCTGTGGGAGGTACCTGGAGTAGCCATGTTCATAGAGACAGGAAGCAGAAGGGTGGGTGCAGGGGCTGGGGATGGTGCTGGAAACTGTTTGCAAATGATGTGACTATATTTCACACACTGAGCTGTACAGGTCTAAGCGGTGAATGTGGTAAATATTAATGTATTTTATCACAATGTTTTCACAATTAAAAAGTAATTTTAAAAAGTAATGCTTGTACTTGTCAGAATTTTTACATCACTCCTAGTTTCATTAATTTCTATTCCATTCCTATTCCCCTACAGAATTTTAATCTGATATAATTATGCCTTTTATATTTGAAAGTCCTTTATTGACTTTGTTGGCCCAGACACAGGTCTCTGCAACAAATACATGCATATAAATTTAAATTTTCTCCCCAGCCTGGGCAAGATAGCAAAACCCTGTCTCTATAAAAAAAAATTTTTTTTAATTAGCTGGGTGCAGTGGCACATGCCTAGGGTCCCTGCTAGTCAGGAGGCTGAGATGGGAGGATCACTTGAGCCCAGGAAGTCCAAGCTACAGTGAGCTATGATGGCAACATTGTACTCCAGCCTGGGTGACAGAGCCAAGACCTTGTTTCAAAAACCAAAAAAGAAAGGAACTATTTTCTCCCATGACCTTAAGACTCCAAATATTAAGTAACTGAGTAATTGTAATAGCTAGGACACAATTCATCAAAACAACCTAAATATTTCAGATATTGATAAATAATGGGTAACAAAAAGCAAAAAGTGTCAGAAACGTATTTCTTAATAAGATCTGTCAGTTAGGTCTAAATGTAGTAAGTACATAATAGGACTGAATAAATGAACATAATTAGCTGATCCGTAACATCAGGAAGGAGACTTGCCTCAGTTCAAAAATAAATATGGATTTTAATATCCTACAATCTAAAAGTTAATGAAACTGTAACATCAACATAAAACATTAACTTACCTTGAGTTTATGTTCCTTTCACTTGAAATGGTAAAGTTCATCTGTCAAAAGAAAACATGGGCATTTTCACGCTTCTTCCTTGTAGTCGGGCAAAATATGCAACTGAGACACAAGTGAACGACCATAATTGTCAAGTTCTTTCCCATTACCAGGAACTCTGAAATTACAGAGAAAATGCATTTTGTAAGAAACTGGCATTTTCCAAAATGTTATCTACACATCTTGAATATTTTAATTATTGGATGGATAGATGCTTGAATGGATGGGTGGGTGGGTGGGGTGGATGGAATAGATAGCTGGGTGGCTGATAGGTGATAGATAGATAGATAGATAGATAGATAGATAGATAGATAGATAGATGATAGATAATAGATGATTGATACATAGACAATAGATAGGTAATATAGATGATAGATTGATACATAGATGATAGATGATACAGATAGGTGATAGATTGATACATAGATGATACAGATAGGTGATAGATTGATACATAGGTGATAGGTAGATGATAGATAGATAATAGATATATAGATGATAGATACGCAGATGATAAATAGATGATAGACAGACAGAACCACCAAGGCTGGCCATGTCATTGCCTGGATGAAGCCTCCACTGCCTTCAGTAATTTCTACTCTTCCCTCTTTGCACACAGTATTTTCCCCATAAGCGATGCATTCTAAATAATCAGAGATACTAGGTCACTAAGAGAACTGTTCTTTTCTCCACTGGCCCACTGTGTAAAGATAGCCCACCCTTAACCTATGAAAGGGGAAAACATGAAACTCTACTATGGGTTCATGGTTCTTTGATTAAAGGAATCCTCAGAGACATCAGTGTTTTAAATTGATCCCCTTCACCCTGCCACCCCTTATTTTTGGTGCTCAAAAGATTCCACCTCCAGCAGCAGTGTGCCGTAATAAGGTCTGGTATGGGTGGGAAGAATCCCTGTCTCAGGTAAACTGAGGATCTCCTGTGACGCTCCCATGCCCGCTGATAGCTGTCAATGAGGAAGTGAAGCAGCCGTGCCAGGCAAGGGCAAGGCAATGAAGGGCTCGGACCCCTTACAGATGAAAGTCTGGATCCCCTCAGCTGACAAATGAGCCAGACCAGCCAAAATGTTTGGCTGAAAGTGGGGCAACCTGGAATGGATGGTGGGAGGGAGATAACAGACACCAGTTACGGGCTGGGAGCCGCCACAGCAGCAGGGACTGGATCTTGGTATGCCTGGGAGATCCACGGCCACTTCTGTTAACATTACGCTTTCATTTGTTCTTGTGGGGAAGAAGTAAGAGGATTATTCTCCTGTGAGATCTGGATATCATTAAGAGGAAGTGAGTACACTGGAGTGGTACAAAGGGTTGACTGTCCCACCCAGTGTTTATGTGCCAACCAAAATCCACATGGCCACGCCCTTTTCACCCCCTGCCTCTCCACACCGCGGTCTCTCGGCTTCTGGAGCAACACTGCATGGCTCATGTTCCTCCCTTGGTTATAGAACCACTCCTGCTTGCTGCCACCACTGCCTTGCAAATAAGGACCCTCGAAGACAATGAAAAGCCAATGCCTGTGCCTGCCCACCGGTCATCCAGGGGCCCTTCCTCCCCAATAGCTGCCTAGAGTGGCGAGGTGACACATCCTGAAAGTTTAGGGGACTGAACTCCCTCTAGGGCTGACCTTAACTAAGGAGAGACAGGAAAAGAAGACAAGGAGCGTGGAAGTCAGTTTCTTCCTCCTGAATGCAGCATTTCAGCATTTCCTGTGACGTCACTGAGGACATCCCATGAGACCACGCAGTCGGCTGAGCGTGGTGAGATGCTGTGTGGACCCAGTCATGCACCCCTGTGGATCCGCCAACACACCTGGCTAATTTTTGTATTTTTAGTAGAGTCAGGGTTTCTCCATGTTGCCCAGGCTGGCTTTGAACTCCTGACCTCAGGTGATCTGCCTGCCTCAGCCTCCCAAAGTGCTGAAATTACAGGCGTGAACCACTGCACCCGGCCTATTTCTTTGCTTTTTCTCTTTAAAACTTGCTGTGTTTTGATGACCTTTACATATAGTCTTTGTACTAATGTCTAATTATTTTCATAAGATAAATTCTTAGTATTGAAAATGCATTTCTAAAAGTTGTGCCAGTTTATATTCCTATACTGTATATGAAAACATTAGTTTCTTTATGTACTTGCAAACCACAAGTATCTCTCCTGGAAAATCTTGGTCATACTCCTGTGTTCAAAATGGTATCCATTCTGCTTTCCATTTCTTTGCTTATTAGCAAGATCACATACAATTTTCAATGTGCATTGGCCATTTCTATTTCTTTTGTGAATTGTCTACAACATGGGTCTGTTTATCTTAATTTTTTTTTTTTTTTTGAGATGGAGTCTCGCTCTGTTGCCCAGGCTGGAGTGCAGTGCCGCCATCTAGCTCACTGCAACCTCTGCCTCCTGGGTTCAAGTGATTCTCCTGCCTCAGCCTCCTGAGTAGCTGAGATTACAGGTGTGTGCCACGATGCCTGGCTAATTTTTCTATTTTTAGTAGAGACAGGATTTCACTATGTTGGTCAGCCTGGTCTCGAACTCCTAACCTCGTGATCCACCCGCCTTGGCCTCCCAAAGTGCTGGGATTACAGGCATGAGCCACTGCGCCCAGCGTTATCTTAATATTTTTATCTCAATCTATCACTTGTCTTTGTTTATAGTATCATGTTAATATATTTTTCTACATAATTAGAATCATTTTGAGAAAAAATATTACAGCAATTCTTCATTTATTCATAGTCATTCCTTTTGGAGAATTTTCTGGTCATATGGGTATTAAATACTTCAAGACCCAGCTCAAATGACCCTTTCACCATGAAGTCTTCCCTGACTTCCTCTAACTCAAGCGTCACTTAATCATCCATCCCGTGTTCCCACGCACACATTTAGCACTTCATTCAGACTTTGTTGTATTAAATGTGTTTACAAAGATATTTATCCTATTATAAGCTTTTTGAAAGCAGGAACAATATTTCATTTCTATGAATACAACAGAGCCTATATTCAATACAAGGGCTTGATTTGTGCTTTAATTACCAATGCTTTTAAATCTTTTAATATTTTTGAGAGAAATATTTCTGGATTATGTGTTTGCATACTTTTTTTTTTTTCTGAGACAGGGTCTCACTCTGTTGCCCAGGCTGGAATGCAGTGCTGCAATCATGGCTCACTGCAGCCTTAGCCTCCAGGGCCAAGGCGATCCTCCCACCTCAGCGTCCATAGTAGCTGGGACTACAGGCACATGTCCAGCTAATTTTTTTTTTTTTTTGAGACAGAATCTCATTCTGTCACCCAGGCTGGATTACAGTAGTATGATTTCAGCTCACTGCAACCTCCGCCTCCCGGGTTCAAGTGATTCTCCAGCCTCAGCCTCATGAGTAGCTGGGATTACAGGTACCTGAACCACACCTGGCTAATTTTTATATTTTTAGTAGAGATGGGGTTTCACCATGTTGGCCAGGCTGGCCTCAAACTCCTGACCTCAGGTGATCTGCCCACCTCGGCCTCCCAAAGTGCTGGGATTACAGGCGTGAGCCACCGCACCGGCCTTGTCTGGCTAATTTTTTAATTTTTTGTAAAGATGAGGTTTCACCATGTTGCCCAGGCTGGTCTCGAACTCCTGGACACAAGCGATCCACCCGCCTCAGCCTCCCAAAGTGCTGATATTACAGGCATGAACCACCTCGCCTGGCTTATCTGCATACTTTTTTTTTTTAAATGGAGTCTCACTCTGTTGCCCAGGCTGGAATGCAATGGTGCTATCTTGGCTCACTGTAACCTCCACCTCCTGGGTTCAACTGATTCTCCTGCCTCAGCCTCCTGAGTAGTTGGGATTACAGGCATGTGCCACCAAGCCCGGCTAATTTTTGTATTTTTAGTAGAGACGGGATTTGACAGTGCATACTTTTCAAGTAGAGTTTACTGAAAAACAATTTACAATTTTTAGCAATTGACATGAACATATAAAGATGATGGATAGGATTCTACTATAAGATGCTGGTTTACCAGCCACTGCAAAAACATGCCAAAATGTAAAGACCATTGATGCTAAGAAGAAACTGCATCAACTAACAAGCAAAATAACCAGCTAACATCATAATGACAGGATCAAATTCACACATAACAGTATTAACCTTAAATGTAAATGGGCTAAATGCCCCAATTAAAAAACACAGACTGGCAAACTGGATAAAGAGTCAAGACCCATCAGTGTGCTGTATTCAGGAGACCCATCTCACATGCAGAGATACACATAGACTCAAAATAAAGGGATGGAGGAAGATCTACCAAGCAAATGGAAAACAAAAAAGGCAGGGGTTGCAATCCTAGTCTCTGATAAAACAGACTTTAAACCAACAAAAATCAAAAGAGACAAAGAAGGCCATTACATAATGGTAAAGGGATCATTATAAAGCAATTCAACAAGAAGAGCTAACTATCCTAAATATATATGCACCCAATACAGGAGCACCCAGATTCATAAAGCGAGTCCTTAGAGACTTACAAAGAGACTTAGACTCCCACACAATAATAATGAGAGACTTTAACACCCCACTGTCAACATTAGACAGATCAATGAGACAGAAAGTTAACAAGGATATCCAGGAATTGAACTCAGCTCTGCAACAAGCAGACCTAATAGACATCTACAGAACTCTCCACCCCAAATCAACAGAATATACATTCTTCTCAGCACCACATCGCACTTATTCCAAAATTGACCACATAGTTGGAAGTAAAGCACTCCCCAGCAAATGTAAAAGAACAGAAATTATAACAAACTGTCTCTCAGACCACAGTGCAATCAAACTAGAACTCAGGATTAAGAAACTCACTCAAAACCACTCAACTACATGGAAACTGAACAAGCTGCTCCTGAATGACTGCTGGGTACATAACGAAATGAAGGCAGAAATAAAGAAGTTGTTTGAAACCAATGAGAATAAAGACACAACATACCAGAATCTCTGGGACACATTTAAAGCAGTGTGTAGAGGGAAATTTATAGCACTAAATGCCCACAAGAGAAAGCAGGAAAGATCTAAAATTGACACCCTAACATCACAATTAAAAGAACTAGAGAAGCAAGAGCAAACATATTCAAAAGATAACAGAAGGCAAGAAATAACTAAGATCAGAGCAGAACTGAAGGAGATAGAGACACAAAAAGCCCTTCAAAAAATCAATGAATCCAGGAACTTGTTTTTTTGAAAAGATCAACAAAATTGATAGACCGCTAGCAAGACTAATGAAGAAAAGAGAGAAGAATCAAATAGACACAATAAAAAATGATAAAGGGGATATCACCACTGATCCCACAGAAATACAAACTACCATCAGAGAATACTATAAACACCTCTACGCAAATAAACTAGAAAATCTAGAAGAAATGGATAAATTCCTGGACACATACACCCTCCCAAGACTAAACCAGGAAGAAGTTGAATCCCTAAATAGACCAATAACAGGCTCTGAAATTGAGGCAATAATTAATAGCCTACCAACCAAAAAAAGTCCAGGACCAGACGGATTCACAGCCGAATTCTACCAGAGGTACAAGGAGGAGCTGGTACCATTCCTTCTGAAACTATTCCAATCAATAGAAAAAGAGGGAATCCTCCCTAACTCATTTTATGAGGCCAACATCATCCCGATACCAAAGCCTGGCAGAGACACAACAAAGAAAGAGAATTATAGACTAATATCCCTGATGAACATCAATGCAAAAATCCTCAATAAAATACTGGCAAACCGAATCCAGCAGCACATCAAAGAGCTTATCCACCATGATCAAGTGGGCTTCATCCCTGGGATTCAAGGCTGGTTCAACATACACAAATCAATAAACATAATCCAGCATATAAACAGAACCAAAAACAAAAACCACATGATTGTCTCAATAGATGCAGAAAAGGCCTTTGACAAAATTCAGCAGCCCTTCAAGCTAAAAACTCTCAATAAATTAGGTATTGATGGGACATATCTCAAAATAATAAGAGCTATTTATGACAAACCCACAGCCAATATCATGCTGAATAGGCAAAAACTGGAAGCATTCCCTTTGAAAACTGGCACAAGACAGGGATGCCCTCTCTCACCACTCCTATTCAACATAGTGTTGGAAGTTCTGGCCAGGGCAATCAGCCAGGAGAAAGAAATAAAGGGTATTCCTAGATATTTCATTCTCTTTGAAGCAATTGTGAATGGGAGTTCACTCATGATTTGGCTCTCTGTTTGTCTGTTATTGGTGTATAAGAATGCTTGTGATTTTTGTACAAACTTACAAGGGACGTGAAGGACCTCTTCAAGGAGAACTACAAACCACTGCTCAATGAAATAAAAGAGGATACAAACAAATGGAAGAACATTCCATGCTCATGGGTAGGAAGAATCAATATCGTGAAAATGGCCATACTGCCCAAGGTAATTTATAGATTCAATGCCATCCCCATCAAGCTACCAAGGACTTTCTTCACAGAATTGGAAAAAACTACTTTAAAGTTCATATGGAACCACAAAAGAGCCTGCATCGCCAAGTCAATCCTAAGCCAAAAGAACAAAGCTGGAGGCATCACGCTACCTGACTTCAAACTATACTACAAGGCTACAGTAACCCAAACAGCATGGTACTGGTACCAAAACAGAGATACAGACCAATGGAACAGAAAAGAGCCCTCAGAAATAATGCCGCATATCTACAACTATCTGATCTTTGAGAAACCTGAGAAAAACAAGCAATGGGGAAAGGATTCCCTATTTAATAAATGGTGCTGGGAAAACTGGCAAGCCATATGTAGAAAGCTGAAACTGGATCCTTTCCTTACACCTTATACAAAAATTAATTCATGATGGATTAAAGACTTAAATGTTAGACCTAAAACCATAAAAACCCAACCCTAGAAGAAAACCTAGGCAATACCATTCAGGACATAGGCATGGGCAAGGACTTCATGTCTAAAACACCAAAAGCAATGGCAACAAAAGCCAAAATTGACAAATGGGATCTAATTGAACTAAACAGCTTCTGCACAGCAAAAGAAACTACCATCAGAGTGAAGAGGCAACCTACAGAATGGGAGAAAATTTTTGCAACCTACTCATCTGACAAAGGGCTAATATCCAGAATCTACAATGAACTCAAACAAATTTACAAGAAAAAAACAAACAACCCCATCAACAAGTGGGCGAAGTATATGAACAGACACTTCTCAAAAGAAGACACTTATGCAGCCAAAAAACACATGAAAAAATGCTCATCATCACTGGCCATCAGAGAAATGCAAATCAAAACCACAATGAGATACCATCTCACACCATTTAGAATGGCGATCATTAAAAAGTCAGGAAACGACAGGTGCTGGAGAGGATGTGGAGAAATAGGAACACTTTTATACTGTTGGTGGGACTGTAAACTAGTTCAACCATTGTGGAAGTCAGTGTGGTGATTCATCAAGGATCTAGAACTAGAAATACCATTTGACCTAGCCATCCCATTACTGGCTATATACCCAAAGGATTGTAAATCATGCTGCTATAAAGACACATGCACACGTATGTTTACTGTGGCACTATTCGCAATAGCAAAGACTTGGAACCAACCCAGATGTCCATCAATGATAGACTGGATTAAGAAAATGTGGCACATATACACCATGGAATACTATGCGGCCATAAAAAAGGATGAGTTCATGTCCTTTGTAGGGACATGGATGAAGCTGGAAACCATCATTCTCAGCAAACTATCGCAAGGACAGAAAACGAAACACCACATGTTCTCACTCATAGGTGGGAGTTGTACAACGAGAACACTTGGACACAGGAAGGGGAACATCACACACTGGGGCCTGTCGTGGGGTGGGGGGAGGGGGGAGGGATAGCATTAGGAGATATACCTAATGTTAAATGATGAGTTAATGGGTGCAGCACACCAACATGGCACATGTATACATATGGAACAAACCTGCACTTTGTGCACAGGTACCCTAGAACTTAAAGTATAATAAAAAGTAATAATAATAATAAAAGAAAAAAGAAAAGATGCTGGTTTACAAGGCTATAGGCTATAACTAAATGGGCCTAGATGCTTATAGATTATGTATTTCTTTATAATGGCATATCTCTGCTGCTGTATGACTATGGCTAGCATTCTCCAGATGAGTAAAATCATTAGGATTAAATCTAAAACTGGACTTAAATACACTTTAAGTTTATAACTAGATTGGCTCTCAACGGGGTTCCAGGTCATTGAGGTTGTCATGTAGGTGACCTCTGCACCCATTACTGTTCACTGGAATATTGTTTTTGCCCTACTTCTCTGAGTCTGGTCATTACTTAAATTGTGTTTCCTCAAACTGTACAAGATGAGTACCTCTCTTGACAATGTTCTTTTATAGTGGATACAGTGTCATCTTCATTATAAAGATCTGCATACTATTCTAATATTGATGCTGGACCTTCGCCATTGCCTTTTGAGAGCCTCTTCTCAATGCCAGAGAAATTATTCAAAACTTGGAAGGAGACACGCAAGATTCCTAAGCGATACGGTTTGGGTATTTGTCCCTGCCCAGATCTCATGTGGAAAAGTAATCCTCAGTGTTGGAGGTGGGGATTGGAGGGAGGTGTTTGGATTATGGCGGTGGATCCCTCATGAATGGCTTGGGCTGGCCCCTTGGTGATAAGGGAGCTTGAGCCCTGAGCTCACAGGAGACCTGGCCTGTTTTTTTTGTTTGTTTGTTTTGAGACGGAGTCTCGCTCTGTCACCCAGGCGAGTGCAGTGGCGCAAACTCAGCTCACTGCAAGCTCTGCCTCCCGAGTTCACGCCATTCTCCTGCCTCAGTCTCCCAAGTAGCTGGGACTACAGGCGCCCACCACCGTGCCTGGCTAATTTTTTGTATTTTTAGTAGAGACGGGGTTTCACGGTGTTAGCCAGGATGGTCTCGCTCTCCTGACCTTGTGATCTGCCCGCCTCGGCCTCCCAAAGTGCTAGGATTACAGGCGTGAGCCACCGCGCCCTGCCGAGACCTGGTCGTTTGAAAGCGTGTGGCACCTCCGCCCCCCACCCCCTTGTTCCTGCTTCCCCATGTGATGAGCCCACTTCCCCTTCTTCTTCCGCCTTGACTGGAAGTTTCCTGAGGCCTCCGGAGAAGCAGAAGCTGCTATGCTTCCTGTACAGCCTGCACATCCCTGAGCCAATTAAACCTCTTTTTTCATCAATTGCCCAGTCTCAGGTACTTCTTTATAGCAGTCCAACAACAGCCTAATACACTAGGTGTTCTTTCAGTGCACTGCTGGGCTTGTTCCTTTGACTGACTGTCTAATAACCGGGTTATCTGACAGCTCTGTAGGCGCAGAGGTTAACTTGTAGGTTCTTGTCCAGCTAGAGATGGAAGTCATTTCTGCTCATTGGGAAAGATAACCCCAGAGGTTGTGGCTTATGGCCCTGTATGACATTAAATAGTTTTATATCTAACCTACTGATCGTATAAAGAATATAACATTTCGTCCGGGTGCGGGGGCTCACACCTGTAATCCCAGCACTTTGGGAGGCTGAGGTGGGTGGATCACAAGATCAGGAGTTTGAGACCAGCCTGGCCAAAATGGTGAAACCCTGTCTCTACTAAAAATACAAAATTAGCCAGGCATGGTGGTGGGTGCCTGTAATCCCAGCTACTTGGGAGGCTGAGGCAGAGAACTGCTTGAACCTGGGAGGCGGAGTCTGCAGTGAGCTGAGATGGCGCCACCGCACTCCAGCCTGGGTGACAGGGTGAGATTCTGTCTCCAAAAAAGAAAAAAAAAAAAAAAGGAAAATAATAATCATCTAACATTTCTTTATTACATTGTTATAAATACCTACCTCCTCAAATTCTTATTTGAACCTAGTCTTTTACAATTCCCTCATTAACTAACAAATTGAATACAATGTTTGACCACATGTTCATTTTATATATATTTTTTGTTTTGTTCTTTTGAGACAGGGTCTCACTCTGTTGCCTCTGCTGGAATGCAGAGGCATGATCACAGCTCACTGCAGCCACAACCTCCTGGACCCAGTGATCCTCCCACCTCAGTGTCCAGAGCAGCTGGGACTGTACGCATGAGCCACTACACCTGCTAATTTTTTTATCTTTTGTAGAGATGGGGTCTCGCCATGTTTCCCAGGCTGGTCTTGAACTCCTGGGCTGAAATGATAACACCCACCTCAGGCTCCCAAAGTGCTAGGATTACAGGAATGAGCCACCACGCCCAGCCTCATTTTATATTTGTATGAGATGCTTTTAATCTTTTGAAAATTAGTTTTTAGTCCACTATTAGAGACCTCTTCTTTTAAATTTAGCTTTCAAGTAAGTTAGGTTGATTGAGAAACAAAATAACATGCTGCTGCTAGTACTATAAAAGCCAACAGGCAATCATAGCCCAGACTTCTTTTCCTTCTTTTGCTGTTGAATACTTTCTCTTCTTGTAACCTAGAAAATATAGGCTAGAGAGCTTCACCAGACAGTTCTTTTAGTTAATCCGTCTGCCTGCAATATTTATGAAGCCCTGTGTGTGAAGAGCATGGCCCCGGAGTGCATAGTAAACATGTAATTAAAGGGGTGGGGAGAGGTTGCTGTATAGCTTCACGTTATTGTTTTCAACTAGAGTTGTGCTTGGCCAGAGGAGAAGGGGAAAAAATCCCCAACGATAATAAAATGAAGTTAATAAATTAGCATTTTGGCCAAGTAAGTGGACAAAGCTCCCTGCCATGTTAGCTAAGTTATCATGTGTTATCGTTGTGTCCCCATCCAAATCTCCTGTCGAATTGGAGGAGGCACCTGGTGGGAGGTGACTGGATCATGGGGACAGATTTCTCCCTTGCTGGTCTTTTTTTTTTTTTTTTTTTTTTGAGACGGAGTTTTGCTCTCGTTGCCCAGGCTGGAGTGCAGTGGCACCATCTCGGCTCACCTGCAACCTCCGCCTCCCGGGTTCAAGCAATTCTCCTGCCTCAGCCTCCCAAGTAGCTGGGATTACAGGCATGCGCCACCACACTCGGCTAATTTTGTATTTTTAGTAGAGACAGGGTTTCTCCATGTTGGTCGGGCTGGTCTCGAACTCCCGACCTCAGGTGATCCGCTGGCCTCAGCCTCCCAAAGTGCTGGGATTACAGGCATGAGCCACCACACCTGGCCTCCCCCTTGCCTTTCTCATGATAGTGAGTGAGTTCTCATGAGATCTGATGGTTTAAAAGTATGTGGTGGCCAGGCGCGGCGGCTCACGTCTGTAATCCCAGCACTTTGGAAGGCTGGGGTGGGCAGATCATTTGAGGTCAGGAGTCCGAGACCAGCCTGGCCAACATGGTGAAACCCTGTTTCTACTAAAAATACAAAAATTAGCCAGGCCTGGTGGCACACATCTGTAGCCGCAGCTACTTGGGAGGCTGAGGTGTGAGAACTGCTTGAGTTCAGGGGGCAGAGGTTGCAGTAAGCTGAGATCACACCACTGCACTCTAGTCTGGGAGACACAGCGAGACCCTTTTTCCAAAAGAAATAAAAAATTAAAGAATAAAAATGAGGCCAGGCGCGGTGGCTCACTCCTGTAATCCCAACACTTTGAGAGGCCAAGGCGGGTGGATCACCTGAGGTCAGGAGTTCGAGACCAGCCTGGCCAACATAGTGAAACCCCGTCTCTACTAAAAATACAAAAATTAGCCAGGCGTGGTGGCACGTACCTATAATCCCAACTACTGGGGAGGCTGAGACAGGAGAATCGCTTAAACTCAGGAGGCAGAGTTTGCAGTGAGCTGAGATGGCACCATTGCACTCCAGTCTGGGCGACAAGAGTGAGACTCCATCTCAAAAACAAAACAAAACAAAACAAAAACCTTTTTTCTTCATAAATTACCTAATCTCAGGAAGTTCTTTATTGCAGTATGAGAACAGACTAATACATCACCCAAAATGATCGCTTTCTTTACAGGATGGCTAATACCCTAGTATAACAGACTTGGACTTTAGAATTGGACTTCAGATATGGGAAGGTCATAAGAAAACCTTTCTTTTGGGAAAAGCAGCACAAGCACCATGTCTGAGGGAGAGTATGTCACTCAAGGCGGCCACTGAGTCTATCATTTTGCTCCACCTAGGTTGAGCTTCAAGACCCAGCTCAAATCCTACATGTTCTGTGATGCTTTCCCGATCATCCTGGGCCAGAGCTGGCTTCTGCACTTGTCTGCATCCTCCATTTAAGACTCGTATTTTTTATGTGTATGTACTTTTTCTCCCAGTCCAGACTGTAAACCCCTGGAAAACAAATTTTGTATCCTCTGCTTGGATATCTTCCCCAGTGTTTGTTATACAATAGGCACTCAATAATGAATGCCTCTTGGTTGGTTCATGCCAGCTGGTTACTCCTGGCCAGTATAGGCAGAAAAGAAACTGTAGTCTGACCATTTTGAAAGACAATCAAATTCATTGGTAAATGATATAATTTCTTTCTCTGGATAATCTTGAAGTAATTAGTACAGTCCTCTGTATAGCATTTTTTCAGCTGTCCACACCCATTATTATTGTTTTCTTTATACAGTATTGTCTTAAAATTGAACTTGCATTTACTTAGCAGAGAGCTTCTGAAACTATTCTTAAATTTTCAATGTCTTATTTAAATTGGATTCGTCTAATGAAGAATAGAGTGCGCACAGAGTAAGAACAAATGTAATAGGATGTATTGCACATTTGGTTGAATGAAACATTGAGTAAAGCAACATGCCTCATTTCTCATGGTAGCTACTCATGTTAGAATCTAAAAAAGTCCAATTAGAGAGTTAGTGTGGAGACTAACCTTAGCATAGGCTAACAGCTAGATTATTTCCTCATTTGAGGATGGCGTGTCTCTGGCACAAAAACTGAGGTTTCATAAAAAAAAATTATATATATATATGTGTGTGTGTGTGTGTATATATATATATATATACACACACACACACACATATATATATATATATATATATATTCTTTGGCTGGCATAGTGGCTCATGCCTGTAGTCCCAGCAATTTGAGAGGCTGAGGCGGGAGGATTGCTGGAGCCCAGGAGTTTGAGAGCAGCCTGAGCAGTATGGCGAAACCTCGTCTTCACACAAAATAAAAAATTAGCCAGGCATGGTAGCACATGCCTGTGGTCCCAGCTACTTGGAGTCTGAAGGATGGCTTGAGCCCAGGAGGTCAAGTCTGCAGTGAGCCAAGATTGTGCCACTGCACTCCAGCCTGGGTGATAGAGTGAGACCCTTTCTCCAAAAATGAATAATTTAATTAAATAATATAAAAATAAAATATATTCTTCATAACATATGTCTTAGTACTTTGCTTACAGGACTTATTAAATACTCCTTGACTGAGTCTTGGGGGCCAGCTGTGAGCTAACACAGGGATAGACAGCATAAGGAACCACTTTATTCTATGTGATCATGAGCCCTGTTCCAAGTACTTCCCAAGTCCAAGTGCATTTTAGGGTGACTCTATTATAGAGTCCTAAATAAGGCAAGACCATTAGGACACAAAACGGTAAAACTCTTGTTTTCTACTAGTGCTTCTCAAACTTCATGTGAATACAAATTACCAGGTGACCTCATTAAATGCAGACTTTGATTCAGTATCTGGGGCGAGGCCTGAGATTCTACATTTCTTTTCTTTTCTTTTCTCTTTGAGACGGAGTTTTGCTTTGTCACCCAGGCAGGAGTGCAATGGGGCAATCTTGGCTCACTGCAACCTCCGCCTCCCGTGTTCAAGCAATTCTCCCCCCTCAGCCTCCCGAGTAGCTGGGATTACAAGCACCCACCACCACGCCCAGCTAATTTTTGTATTTTTAGTAAAGACAGGGGTTTCTCCATGTTGGCCAGGCTGGTCTCGAACTCCTGACCTCAGGTGGTCCACTAGCCTTGGCCTCCCAAAGTGCTGGGATAACAGGCATGAGCCACCGCCCTGGCTGAGATTCCACATTTCTTTTTCTTTTTTTTTTTTTTAGACGGAGTCTCGCTCAGTCGCCCAGGCTGGAGTGCAGTGGCGTGATCTCGACTCACTGCAAGCTCCGCCTCCTGGGTTCACGCCATTCTCCTGCCTCAGCCTCCTGAGTAGCTGGGATTACAGGTCCCCGCCACCACGCCCGGCTAATTTGTTGTATTTTTAGTAGAGACAGGGTTTCACCATGTTAGCCAGGATGGTCTCCATCTCCTGACCTCGTGATCCACCCACCTTGGCTTCCCAAAGTACTGGGATTACAGGCGTGAGCCACTGTGCCCGGCTGAGATTCCACATTTCTAACAGGCTCCCAGGTGCCGCTGAAGTTGGCCTGGGATTGCACTTTGAGAATCCTTGCTCTAGAGAATCTGGGATTCTCAGACCTCTCAGGATTGCCCTAGATCTACCCTATTCCTGAAGTTCTTTTTCTCTTTCTCCTCTTCATGCTCTGGCCCATGGGGCTATTGGGCCTTCTCCCTACCAGGCATCCCTGTTACTTCCCCAACACAAAATAGAACTCAGCCCCCTTCCTTTCCAATAATAATTTCTTTGTGATGAAAAAACAGGACAAGATCAGGAAGTGACGTGTTACATGCTCCACAGATGTGAATTCACTGCATTGGAGATTATTCCAACCAACAAATATTGGGACTTTTACATCACAGGCAAAGATTTACCTGTGACCCACAGTGGCATTTAACAGCAGTTATAAAGATGAAACACCTAGCTAAAATTCTATCCCACAATACATATATATTTTTTTTTATGGAGTCTCACTCTGTCACCCAGGCTGAAGTGCAGTGGTGTGATCTTGACTCACTGCAACCTCCGCCTCCTGGGTTCAAGCAATTCTCCTGCCTCAGCCTCCCAAGTAGCTGGGACTACAGGTACCCGCCACCATGCCCAGCTAATTTTTTATTTTCAGTAGACACGGGGTTTTACCATGTTGGTCAGGCTGGTCTCAAACTCCTGACCTCAGGTGATCCACCCACTTTGGCCTCCCAAAATGGTGGGATTACAGGCGTAAGCCACCACGCCTGGCCTATTTTTTTTTTTTTTTTTTTAAACAGAGTCTCGCTCTGTTATCTATGTTATCTAGGCTGGAGTGCAGTGGCCTAATCTCAGCTCACTGCATCCTCCACCTCCGAGGCTCAAGTGACCTTCCCACCTCAGTCTCCTAAGTAGCTGGGACCACAGCCACGCACTACCATGCCAGGCTAATTTTTACATTTTCTATAGAGACAGGATTTTGCCATGTTATCCACACTGGTCTCCAACTCCTGAGCTCAAGCAATCTACCTGCCTTGGCCTCCCAAATCCCAGCTCGCCTGCTGGGATTATAGGCGTGAGCCACTGCTCCTGGCCTGAGAACTATTTCAACAATAATTATCTAAAGGATAAAATTGTGACACTCATAGAAATATAAATATAATAAACACATGTCAAAGATTTTACTAAACTCACAGTTTCATGAGGGAACCAATAAGATGTTATAGCTGGTTCAAAGAGAAGTCAAATAACACACATATACAGGCAGTCAAGAATGCAGAAATAAATTTCCTAACAGTGCAAAACTGGTCAGTATCCCACAAGGCAATAATCAGTTGCATCTCCACCACCAAAAAAGTTCATTTCCATTTCTCTGGACAAGTTATTCATATTTCTACCTTTTTTTATAATTTATAAACTTATGAAATAATTCAAGTAAAAAGAAAGCCTGAGATACGAAAAAAAATTAAAAAAAAAGGAAAAAGAAAGCCTGAGATAACCCTGGAGGATGTGTTAGGCAGTACACCCATTTTAGAGTGTCACATTTTTGCTGGCAGTCTAATCCTTCTTCCTTTGTCATTGTTCTTCCCTACGAAAGTGGCAATCAGGCTGGGCACGGTGGCTCACGCCTGTAATCCTAGCACTTTGGGAGGCCGAGGTGGGCGGATCACCTGAGGTCGGGAGTTCGAGACCAGCCTGACCAACATGGAGAAATCCCGTCTCTACTAAAATACAAAAATTAGCCAGGCGTGGTGGCACATGCCTGTAATCCTAGCTACTAGGGAGGCTGAGGCAGGAGAATCGCTTGAATCCAGGAGGCGGAGGTTGCGGTGAGCCGAGATCGCGCCATTGCACTCCAGCCTGGGCAATAAGAGTGAAACTCTGTCTTAAAAAAAAAAAAAAGTGGCCATCTAGGAAACAAAATTTGGTCTTCCTCTAAAATAGGTTCGTTATGGACATGCCACAGGCAAGGAAGAAATAACTTCAAGGTCTTTCTACTTCAGGGCCATTCACAAGCTTCCACCTTCCAAATATTCATTGTCCAAGCTAAAGTTTCTCCTAGTTTCATATGTATCTTCCATGGCTCTGCTTCTCTCCAGTTAATACTGTGTGTAGTTAAGGATGATTTCTGATGTAAACACTTGCAAGACACTACATATGCATCCCCCTCCCCGCACCAAGCAACCTTCTGAGAACAGTGTCCTCTTTTAATATTTGACACTCTGAGATTCAGAGATTATGCTCTCTACCCAAGAACAGAAACAAATGAGTTGAGTTAAAATCAAAAATAGAGGGGCAGACGCGGTGGCTCACGCCTGTAATCGCAGCACTTCGGGAGGCCTAGGCAGGCGGATCACCTGAGGTCGGGAATTCGAGACCAGCCTGACCAACATGGAGAAACCCCATCTCTACTAAAAATACAAAATTAGCCGGGCATGGTGGCGCGTGCCTATAGTCCCAGCTACTCAGGAGGCTGAGGCAGGAGAATCGCTTGAACTCAGGAGGCAGAGGTTGCAGTGAGCTGAGATCACGCCATTGCACTCCAGCCTGGGCAACAAGAGCGAAACTCCGTCTCAAAAAAAAAAAAAAAATCAAAAATAGATCTATTTTGGTCTAGGCCCTCCCTCCCAGAAGAACTTGGTGGTTGTCTTAGTCTATTTGGGCTACTACAGCAAAATGCCATAAATTAGGTGGCTTATAAACAACATAAATTTATTTCTGGCAGGTTGGATATCTGGTGAGGGCCTGCTTTCTGGTCCACAGATGAAGCCTTCTCATTGTAACCTCACATGGTGGAAGGGGCAAGGCTGTTCTCTGGGTTCTCCTTAAAAAGGCACCAATGGCCAGGCACGGTGGCTCACGCTTGTAATCCCAGAACTTTGCAAGGCTGAGGTAGGTGAATCACGAGGTCAGGAGTTTGAGACCAGCCTGACCAACATGGTGAAACCCGGTCTCTACTAAAATACAAAAATTAGCCGGGCATGGTGGCGCATGCCTGTAATCCCAGCTACTCAGGAGGCTGAGGCAGGAGAATCACTTGAACTCGGGAAGCAGAGGTTGAGGTGAGCCGAGATCATGCCACTGCACTGCAGCCTGGGTGACAGAGCAAGACTCCATCTCAAAAAAAAAAAAAAAAAAAAAAGTAAAGGATGAGCACTGAATTAGAAATTGATAGAATCAGGTTGTCAGAGCAGCCCTGCTGTTCATCAATTGTGTCATCTCCTACAGATCACTTTCTTTTCCTTCTTCCCCTCTTATTGACCAACACAGTAATAAGTAATACATGTCTTCCTTTGGATCAAATGACAAAGTATAGGTTTTGAGCATAGAACAATGAGATTTGCTTTCTTTTGAAGTTTCTAAAACCAGTCTCCTTACTTTATAATCAGGCTATTTTATGAAAACATTTAAAAAAATACACTTTAAACAAGTGAATTTGCAAGTCACTGACAAGGTCTGTTCTCCTGATGGCCTCCTGAGCTCTGTCACTGAAATTCATCTGTCCCTTTCGGCTTCCTGCATGACCTCACCCTGTTCAGCAGCACGGAAGAATACTAAGAATTGACTCCCATTAAGCAACCTCCTAAACAAAAAGTGGTTTGATAGGCAATAGCCTCAGAGACATAACTGTACAGTGAAATCCAGATCATTTCCACAGGCGTCTCTTCCGTGCCCGTCTGCAGCACTTATTCTAAAAGAAAACACTGGTGAAATTTTAAGGATTTCTCTATAATGTGGTAATTGGTATTTGAAATTGCCTTAAGTCTACATTGAAAAGTCATACGGTACTAGTTTGGGAAAATATGAATCAATGTTTTAACAGAAATGCAGTTTCAGTGTTCCTTTAACACACACATACAACTTAAATGAGTTGCGGGTGCCAGACCTTCTTTTAATGAGTGGATCATTTGCAATGAACCTGATTGTGAATCCAATGCCTTAAAAGCAAATGCTTTAAGTGCTTACACAGGTTGTTCTAGATTATATTTGAGGTCAATAACAAGAACACATTTCACTTCATTTTTTAACTTTACAATAGTTTTACTTCAATTGCATTCAGAATTATTTTTTTTTTTTTTGAGATGGAATCTTGCTCTGCCACCCAGGCTGGAGTGCAGTGCTGCAATCTCAGCTCACTGCAACCTCCGCCTCCCCAGTTCAAGCAATTCTCCTGCGTTCAGCCTCCCCCGTAGCTGGGACTACAGGCACTCACCACCACATCCAGCTAATTTTTGTACTTTTAGAAGAGATGGGGTTTCGCCATGTAGCCCAGGGTGGTCTTGAACCCCTGAGCTTGGGCAATCCACCCACCTTGGCCTCCCAAAGTGCTGGGATTACAGGCATGAGCCACCGTGCCCGGCCCCTGTTCAGAATTCTGGCAATTGTAGTGCAAGAGGGACAAGAATCTGCCTCTGCACAAAGTTGCAAAATAATACTGTGGTTCTTTTCTCGTCTAATTTTCATAAACTCTTAACAACAAGCATGTTATTTCTGGAGAAACAAAATCACAGTTTGAATTGAATATAATCTTTATATATAATCTTACAGAGGGACTTTTTGTTCCTGAACTCCTGATAAGAAAGAACTTTTTATGTGACCCGTATCCAACTTGTGCAACTTATCTAAAGTAAGCTCACAAATGTATTTTCTCAAATAATACAATACATACTTCATTATAATAGCCTTGAATTTCCAAATAGGTTGAAAACAAAACTCCTTGTGAGTGGGAGGGGTAGTTTTAACCAAAAAATCAATTAAGTGAGAAGATTTGGTGGTGGTGGTGGGATTAGAAATCCTCATTTTATTTTGTTCTCATAAGCATTTTAAACTGTCCCTCTGGAATCACGTTGTTTTTGAACTTGCATGGATGGTAGGATTCTTTAAGGTAAGGACCAGGTCCTACTCATCTTTGTTTTCTCCGAAACCAGCATATCATTGGTTGAAATAATTCCCATGAAAACTGCCATTCTCTCTGGTGTGTGGACACAATTTCTAACTGACAGGGATCTGAAGTATGGATTTTCAGTAGCTGCTTACGAGTCACTGCACTGAGTCTGCTTATTACAGAAAACTGCCTGACTCAAAGCTCAGCTAAGCCCCCTTGCTTAGCTGCACCGAACCTTACAGAGCATCCCTGTCTGCACTGACCTTGGCCTCTGCCACTCTCCCAGGACACGTGGTTTGTTTCTCTGAGAAGCAATTGTGGTAATGCCACGTTGGGCAGACAGGCTTCTTCAGTGGTAGACCACAGTCAGGAGGAAAGGAACACTCTCTAGGGGACAGCGTTTCACTGGGTGGTTTTCCAGGGACGGTGCGTTGGCAGCACCCACGGTAGGGTGTGTTGGCAGTGTTGGCAGCACCCACCCTGGCCAGGCCTGTGCCTCTGCAGGGCTGCACCCTCCCCAGAAGGCAGTCCCTCCCGCCAGCCTTTCCCTAATGGATTTCCATTTCTATCGATTGGGGACTTAGACGCCGGCAAGCAATTAGTCCTCATCAGGCAGCAGGAGTTTCCTAAGGGGACTGCCAGCTAGTCTAATTGCTGGCAGCTGTGGGGACACTCAGCTGCCAGGCACAGGCTGTTAACCCCCAGTGTCCCGGGCTCCAAACAGTCTCCTGACCTAGCACAGTTCCTCACTGTGGCATGAATTTGGAGATGGCTGTTCTTTATCTTGGAATACTCTGTTGAGAGATTTGCTTTACTCTTCAAAGACACTTTGAGATAAAGTGTGAAGTGCTCAACCTTGCTCTTTAGCAGGAAAATACCTCAGAGAGGAAAAAGCAAAGGAGGATTTACAACTGGTTTCTAGGCCAGCGTGGTAGCTCAGGCCTGTAATCCCGGCACTTTGAGAGGCCGAGGCAGGTGGATCACGTGAGGTCAGAAGTTCAAGAACAGCCTGGCCAACATGGTGAAACCCCAACTCTACTAAAAATTCAGAAATTACTCTGGACATCTGTAATCACAGCTACTCAGGAGGCTGAGGCACATGAATTGCTTGAACCTGGTAGGTGGAGGTTGCAGTAAGCCGAGGTCATACCACTGCACTCCAGCCTGGTCGACAGAGAGACCCTGTCTCAAAAAAAAATTTTTTTTTAATTGTTTCTATTATGGGAATTCTCAAAAACTCACAAAAGTAGAATAAGCCCCCATATACCCCATATATACCCCCATATACCTGTCCATCAGTGAATTCTCTACCTTCTGCCATCCTTTTTGGCCTATTCCCCCCACCTCCGCTTTTTTTCTTTTTACTAGAGAATTTTTAAGCAAATACCAGACGTATCATTTTACTTATAAGTGCTTTAGCATGTCATTCTAATATAGTTTAATACAATTTTTTTTTTGAGGCAGGGTCTTGCCCTGTTGCCCAGAGTGAAGTGCAGTAGAGGGCAGTGGTTTGATCGTGGCTCACCGCAGCTTCAAACTCCTACACTCAAGCGATCCTCCCGCCATGACCTCCTAAGTTAGTAGCTGGGACTACAGGCGTGCACCACCACCCCCAGCTAATTAAAAAAAATTTTTTTAGAGACACAGTCTTGCTATGTTGCCCAGCCTGGTAAAGATATTTCAAAAAATAACCATAACATAATTACTGCACCCCCAAAAAACAGTTCCCTAATAAACAGTTCCTTAATATCACCCACTATCCAGGCATGTTCACATTTCCACAATGCCTCAAAAATGCCTTTTCAGGCCGGGCACGGTGGCTCATGCCTGTAATCCCAGCACTTTGGGAGGCCGAGGCAGGTGGATCACGAGGTCAGGAGATCGAGACCATCCTGGCTAACACGGTGAAACCCCATCTCTACTAAAAATACAAAAAATTAGCCGGGCGTGGTGGCGGGCGCCTGTAGTCCCAGCTACTTGGGAGGCTGAGGCAGGAGAATGGCATGAACCTGGAAGGCAGAGCTTGCAGTGAGCTGAGATCGCGCCACAGCACTCCAGCCTGGGCGACAGAGCAAGACTCCATCTCAAAAAAAAAAAAAAAAAGGTCTTTCTGATGAAAAAATGGCCAACATCATTAATCATCAGAGAAATGCAAATTAAAACCACAATGAGGGCCAGGCACAGTGGCTCATGCCTGTAATCCCAGCACTTTGGGAGGCCAAGGTGGGTGGATCACAAGGTCAACAGATCAAGACCATCCTGGCCGACATGGTGAAAGCCCGTCTCAACTAAAAATACAAAAATTAGCTGGGCATGGTGGCACACACCTGTAGTCCCAGCTACTCGGGAGGCTGAGGCAGGAGAATCGCCTGAACCCAGGAAGCAGAGGTTGCAGTGAAGCCAAGATAGTGCCACTGCACTCTAGCCTGGGTGACAGAGTGAGACTCTGTCTCAAAAAAAAAAAAAAAAAAAAAAAAAAAAACACACATGAGATATCATCTCACCCCAGTTAAAATGGCTGTCATCCAAAAGACAGACAATAACAAATGCTGACAAGGATCGAAGATGTGGTGAAAAGGGAACCCTCATACACTGTTGGTGGGAAGGTAAATTAGTACAGCCACTATGGAGAACAGTATGGAGGTTCCTCAACAAACTGAAAATAGAGCTACCACATGATCCAGCAATCCCATTGCTAGGTATACACCTGTGTATTACTCTGTTTTCACACTGCTGATAAAGACATATCCCAGACTGGGAAGAAAAAAGGTTTAATTGGACTTACAGTTCCACATGGCTGGGGAGGCCTCAGAATCATAGTTGGAGGCGAAAGGCACTTCTTACATGGTGGCGGCAAGAGAAAATGAGGAAAAAGCAAAAGCGGAAACCCTTGATAAACCCATCAGATCTCATGAGACTTATTCACTATCATGAGAATAGCATGGGAAAGACTGGCCCCCGTGGTTCAATTACCTCCCCCTGGGTCCCTCCCACAAGACATGGGAATCCTGGGAGATACAATTCAAGTTCAGATCTGGCTGGGGAAACAGCCAAACCATATCAACCCCAAAGAAAGGAAATCAATGTATCAAAGAGATATCTGCACTCTCATGTTTATCACAGCACTATTCACAATAGCCAAGGTTTGGAAGCAACCTAAGCCTCCATCAACCGACAAATGAATAAAGAAAATGTGGTACATGTACACAATGGACACGTACTCAGCCAAAAAAAGAATGAAATTCCGTCATTTGTGACACAGATGGAACTGGAAGACATTACATTAAGTGAAATCAGGCACAGAAAGACCAATTGCACATGTCTCACTCATATGTGAGAACTAAAATTTAAAACAAACTCATGGGGATAGAGAATAGAATGATGGTTACCAGAGGCTGGGAAGGGTAGTGGTAGGTGTGGGGGTGGAGTGAGGATGGTTAATGGGGGCAAAAATATAGTTAGATAGAATAAGATCTAGCACAACAGGTGACTACACTAAACAATAATTTATTGTGTTTATACACACACACACACACACACACACACACACACACACACACACACACGTATTTTGAGACGGAATCTTGCACTGTCGCCCAGGCTGGAGTACAATGGTGCCATCTCAGCTCAATTCGACCTCTGCCTCCTGGGTTCAAGTGATTCTCCTACGTTCAAGTGATTCTCCTGCCTCAGTCTCCCAAGTAGCTGGGATTACAGGTGCCTGCCACCATGCGCAACTAATATTTTTTGTATTTTTAGTAGAGACAGGGTTTCACCGTGTTGGTCAGGCTGGCCTCAAACTCCTGACCTCAGGTGATCCGCCTGCCTGGGCCTCCCGAAGTGCTGGGATGACAGGCATAAGCAACCGTGCCCAGCCCTATTGTATATTTTTAAATAGATAAAAGAGTCTAATTTTCCATGTTCCTAACACAAAGAAATGATAAATGCTCAAGGTGATGGATACCCCACTTACCCAGACGTGATTATTACACATGGTCTACCTTTATCATCACATGCACCCATGAACATATATACCTATTATGTACCCATAAAAATTAAAAACTAGGCCGGGTGTGGTGGCTCACAACTGTAATCTCAGCACTGTAGGAGGCCAAGGCGGGAAGACTGCATGAAGCCAGGAGTTCCAGACCAGCCTGGGCAACAGAGGGAGATGCTGTCTCCACAAAAAATAAAAAATTAGCCAGGAATGGTGGCGTGCACCTGTAGCCCCAGGAACTCAGGAGGCTGAGGCAGGAGGATCACTTGGACCCAGGAATTCAAGGCTGCAGTGAGCTATGATCACTCCACCACACTTCAGCCTGGGCAACACAGCCAGACTCTGTTTCTAAAAATAAAAGACCAAACAACTAAAATAATTAAAATGTCTTTTCAGTTTGTTTGTTTTTTGGGGGGACGGAGTCTCTCTCTGTCACCCAGGCTGGAATGCAGTGTGCAGTGGCGCAATCTCCGTTCACTGCAACCTCCGCCTCCCAGGTTCAAGTGATTCTCCTGCCTCAGCCACCTGAGTAGCCGGGATTACAGATGTCTGACACCACACCCAGCTAATTTTTTGTATTTTTAGTAGAGATGGGGGTCTCACCATGTTGGTCAGGCTGGTCTTGAATTCCTGACCTCAGGTATCTGCCCACCTTGGTCTCCCAAAGTGCTGGGATTCCAGGCGTGAGCCACCGCACCCGGCCTTTTCAGTTTGTTTGAATCAGGATGAAATCAAGGTCACCCTGAACTTAGTTGTGATTGCATGACGAGGTCGTCATTTGTCCTACACAATTTTACAGTCTAAATGTGGCAGATTATATCCTCAGTGCTCTTTTTTTTTTTTTTTTTTTTTTGTTGAGACGGATTCTTGCTCTGTCGCCCAGGCTGGAGTGCAGTGGCGCGATCTTGACTCACTGCAACCTACGCCTCCCGGTTCAAGAGAGCCTCGTGCCTCAGTTTCCCAAGTAGCTGGTATTACAGGCACCCGCCACCACGCCCAGCTAATTTTTGTAATTTTAGTAGAGACAGAGTTTCACCATGTTGGCCGGGCTGGTCTTGAACTCCTGACCTCAAGTGATCCACCTGCCTTGGCCTCTCAAAGTGCTGGGATTACAGTCATGAGCCACCGTGCCTGGCCGCCTCACAGTGTTCTTTTATGTGCTCCTTTAGCCCCCATATTTTCTATAAACTAGTAGAAAAATTTAGACCATTCATGAGAGTTAGGTTTTTTTTGTTTTGTGTTTGTTTTTGTTTTTCAAGAATACCTTGGGCTGGGCGCGGTGGCTCACACCTGTAATTCTGACACTTTGGGAGGCCGAGGTGAGAGGATCACTTGAGCCCTAGAGTTCAAAACCAACCTGGGGAATAAGACAAAACCCAATCTCTACACAAAATACAAAAAATTAGCCGGGCCTGGTGCCACGCACCTGTGGTCCCAGCTACTCAGAAGGCTGAGGTGAGAGAATCGCTTGAGCCTGGGAGGCTGAGATTGCCGTGAGCCAAGATCGTGCCACTGCACTCCAGCCTGGGTGACAGAGCGACAAAGAAATACAAAGAACAAACAAATAAAAAACCCAAGAATACTTTATAGGTGGTGCTGTGAACTTGCTTTTGCTTTTTATTCAGGAGGCACAAAATCTCTCACTATCCAATAATGTTAGAACTGATCAGAGTTCAAATGTTGTCAGCCTGACCCATCTATTCTAAAGTTCCCTATTAACATTTCACCCAATAATTTTAGCAGATATTGATAATCAGTGGCTAGAATGATTTTGTTAGGGTTTACTAAATGGCAGCATTCTAATGTTTTCATTCCTTTGGCATATATTAGCTATAGTTCTTCTATAGAGAAGAATTCCCCCGTCATGTTTGCAAAGGCAGGATAAATACTTGATTCCTTCCCCTTATTGGTATCAAATTAATGAGTTGCTTCCTTAAGCACCTTTAACTATGAAAATATTTTTGGAATATCATTACGAACTCATGGATTTTTCTATGTTTGATGTGTTTCAATCTTTGCAGTCCTACTTTCTAAAGCTAAAGTTAACCCAAGTTTAACCAATGATAGCCTTTTCCACCGGGCATGATGCCTTGCGCCTGTAACCCCAGCACTTTGGGAGGCTGAGGTGGGCAGATCACTTGAGGCCAGTAGTTTGAGACCAGGCTGGGCAACATGACAAAAGCCTCTCTCTACTAAAAATACAAAAAAATTAGCGGGGCGTGGTGGCGTGTGTGCCTGTAGTTCCATCTACTCGAGAGGCCGAGGCAGGAGAATCACTTGAACCCGGGAAGCGGAGGTTGCAGTGAGCCAAGATCACGCCACTGCACTCCAGCCTGGACAACAGAGTGAGACTCTGTCTCAAAATTAATAATAATAATAAAATAATAGCCTTTTCAAATTTGTTCTGTCAGGACCCCTGCTCCTTTTTTTTCCAGCTGTGACTCCAGACAGGATCCAAAGAGAAGTTTTACAATCTCTTCTTTGGGTTTTAAGGAGACTGGCTTCACCCTTCTGCGTTAGCCTCTTAAAGCATTGCATCAGCCTTAAAGGGGTGCAGGAAAGGGTCATGTGCCCTTCTGAGTTGCCCTACTAGTCTTTGACATTCTTCTGTCCCGTGCTTGGAATAATTGTTTTCCAAGGTGCCATGTTCCTTTCAGTAGAACTTTGAATTACGGTGTTCCTTACTAACAGATTGTTATTGCTTCTTGTCCAGCTTATTATGTTTAAGGAGACAGTGAACCTGTATTAAATTCAGTCTGGTATCAGTATCCTACAAATGTAAATACATCCTCACCCATCTTAAACTTCTTCCTTCCTGCCCCAAACGAACCAGAGTCTAAAATATGCTTTTGATGTCTTTACTTCCATTATTGCCTCACTCTCTCCAACCTTCAGCCTCATCCCCTCTGTGGGTGAATCAGAGATGCCCACCACTGCCTCCCAGTCCCCTATCTTATCTCCTCAACTGTACTGAAGGAGGTATTATTATTGCTCCATTTTATAGATGGAGAAACTGAGGTCTAGGAAGTTCACATATATGCTAAAAGAGTTAATAGTGTACTGAGCTAAAAGGGTTAATAGGGTACTTGGGACAGCAAGAATGACCTTTCTGACTCATTTTGAATCTTCCGCAATGCTGAACACAGAGTATGTCCTCGCTAAGGTTGCAACTGAATTATCACCATGCCACATGCTTGGTGGTGACGTGCTGTCTCAACCCCTCATCCAGGCACTTTTTCTCCCGCACCCAAGAAGCTTCATCCCACAACCAATTCACAGAACCGGAATAAAATAAAACTCTGATTGGTTCTGTTCCGAAGAAGCCATGCTTTAAGGAAGAAAAATCGTGCCTGGAAGAGCTGTCAGCTTCATTACGGGCCCTGCAGCCAGCCACGTGGGAGAGCAGTCGAATCCTGGAGAAGGAGCGGGTTAATGACCAAAACCCCTCCCATGGCACACCTGAGCCCCCCCACACACGTGGTGTTCTCAGAAGCCACACGATGGGGGAAATCTTTTCTCAGTTCCTTAATATTTCAGAAACAATATGCCACTAGCGATTTCTCATCTTTTCTAATTCTCTGAGGAAGATTATTTCAGAGAACCAAATAAGAGGTCCATATAGTAGGGCAGAGTGAGCTCAAGAAAAACCCTCTGCACACCCAGATGGTTGTGGATGCCGTCTCAGCAGTGGGGAGACCTCAGGAGAAGTGGGTAAAAACACTACAGGTCCTCCACATGGGAGGCGTGGACCCCAGAGACGAGCTTCAGAACTAACCCCCATTCGTGCTTCTTCGTTGAGTTTCTACTCACATGCTTTGCCCATTGGCTATCTTGGTCTGTCTTTGTTCTGTAGTTGAAGTAGTTGAAGTCTTTACATGCTGAGAATATTATATCAGCCTAGCCAGGGCGTTTGGGGTTCTTAGGGTTGAATAAACTACCCAAATTAGCTTAAGAGGGAACTTGGCCAGGCACGGTGGCTCATGCCTGTAATCCTAGCACTTTGGGAAGCCAAGGCAGGTGGATCACCTGAGGCCAGAAGTTTGAGACCAGCCTGGCCAACATGGTGAAACCCTGTCTCTACTAAAAATACAAAAATTAGCTGGGCGTGATGGTGAGGGGCCTGTAATCCCAGCTACTAGAGAGGCTGAGGCAGGAGAATCACTTGAACATGGGAGACGGAGGTTGCAGGGAACTGAGATCCTGCCACTACACTCTAGCTTGGGTGACAGAGTAAGACTGCCAAAAAGAAAAAAAAAAAAAGAAAAAGAAAGGAAGGAAGGAAGGAAGGAGAAAAGAGGGAACTCATTGACTCCATAACTGGAAGCCCAAGAGTAGATCTACACTCAGGTGCAACAGGATCCAGGGACCCTAACAATAACTCAAACCTTTCTCTCCATTTACCTTTCACCTTCCCTCATCTCTGTTTGCCTTGATGCCATCCTTCTGCAGTTAGCTTTTCCTTCTGTAGCCAGAATCATCGGCAACCACAGGACACCTCAGTCCTTCAAGCTTTGTCAACCCAAAGGTAAGGTCCATTCTTCTTGAGCTCCAAAGCCAAAAGGAGACTCTTCTTAGGGAAAGGGGATGCTGAACAACCCAAAACAGCAGATGCTCAGTACACTATTAACCCTTTTAGCATATATGTGAACTTCCTAGACCTCAGTTTCTCCATCTATAAAATGGAACAATAATACCTACAAGTAGCCGTTAGATAATGCATGTAAAATGCTTAGCACCATTCCCAGCACATAATAACCCCTATATTCATGCTGGCTCTTGTTATTATTTTTATCATTATATGCCTTTCCTAGATGGGTCATCTTTTAATTCTACTTATGATATCTCCCACTGAGTAGAACTTAAAGTTTTTTCTGTGACCAAACCTAAAAATATTTTCTTTATGGCTTCTGGATGATGTCTTGTATAGGAGAGACTTCCCCACACCAACATTACAAAAACATCCTCTTACATCTCCTTCTAGTATTTTTGTAGTTTTATTTATTTATTTATTTGAGATGGGGTCTCACTCTGCCGCCGAGGCTGAAGTACAGTGGCGTGATCGCAGCTCACTGCAGCCTTGACCTCCCCAAGCTCAGGTGATCCTCCCACCTCAGTTTTTGTATTTCTAGTAGAGACAGTTTCATCATGTTGCACAGGCTGGTCTCGAACTCCTGGGCTCAAGCTATATATATATATATATATATATATATCTGGCTCTGGCTCTTCTCCCACAAGCTATTATTCCAAAACCATTTTTTTGTTTCATTTTTGTTTTTTGTTTTTTTGAGACAGAGTCTTGCTCTGTAGCCCAGGTTGGTGCAGTGGCGTGATATTGGCTTACTGCAACCTCCACCTCCCAGGTCCCAGTTCAGGCAGTTCTCCTGCCTCAGCCTCCCGAATAGCTGGGATTACAGGCACGCACCACCATGGCCAGCTAATTTTTGTATTTTTAGTAGAGATGGGGTTTCACCATGTTGGCCAGGCTGGTCTTGAACTCCTAACCTCGTGATCTGCCTGCCTCGGCCTCCCAAAGCACTGGTATTACAGGCGTGAGCCACTGTGCCCAGCCTCCAAATAAACTTTTAAATCAGCTTATAAAGATACAATTTTAAATGAGTTGTATTTCATCTTAAAATCGGATTGAATTTATGGATCAGTTTGGAAAGAATTAGCATCTTCATAAGAATGAGCTTCCCTGACTAGGAAGCAATGCAGAGCTCCATTGATTCAGACATTCTTCATGTTCCTGAGTTTTAGAGAATAAACATAACAAGGAAAATAAACATAACACATTCACTCTTATTCCTAGTCCTAAATATTTTATGGTTTTGGTGGGCTTTTGTTTTGCTATTAAATAAAATTTTATTGCCATTAAGTTTTCTAATTTATCGTTATTGCCTTATTATTACTATTTTTTTTGAGACAGAGTCTCATTCTCCCAAAGTGCTGGGATTAGAGGCGTGAGCCACTGCACCCAGCCTGCCAATGCTATTAATATATTCGTGTTTTACTCATAACTGGTTATCCTGTTGTGCTCTTTTTATATGAACAATTTTCCGTTTTTAGTTGAATTATTCTGTTTTCTTTTCTTCTGTCATCCAGGCTGGAGTGCAGTGGCATGATCAAGGCTCACTGCAGCCTTGACCTCCTGGGCTCAAGTGATCCTCCCACCTCAACCTCCCGAGTAGCTGGGACTACAGGCATACGTCACCACACCCAGTTAATTTTGTGTGTGTGTGTGTGTGTGTGTGTGTAGACAGTGTCTAACTGTGTTGCCCAGGCTGGTCTCAAACTCCTAGGCTCAAGTGGTCAGCCCGCTAGGCCTCCCAAAGTGCTGGGATTACGGATGTGAGCCACTGCACCTGGCTAGTTGATTCTTACGATTTCATAAATAACCAGTTGTATCATCTGTAAGCAGTAAGTTTGTCATTTCTTTTTATAAACTTAGTTTTGCTCTCCTTATTTCTCGCAGTGGCTAGGGCCTACAGTAAGATACTGACTAGTAGTAGTGCTATGCAGCATCCTCGTCCCATTCTTGACTTTAAGGAGAATGGCTTGTGTTTTCACCTTTAAGTGTGGTTGCTGCTGTTTACTTCTTTATCAAAGTGAAGCAGTTTCCCTATATTCCTTTTTTTTTTTTTTTTTTTTTTTGAGATGGAGTCTTGCTCTGTCATCCAGGCTGGAGTGCAGTGGCTCAATCTTGGCTCATTGCAACCTCTGCCTCCTGGGTTCAAGTGATTCTCCTGGCTCAGCCTCCCGAGTAGCTGGGATTACAGGTGCCGGCCACCATGCCTGGCTAATTTTTGTATTTTTAGTAGAGATGGGCGTTTCACAATATTGTCAGGCTGGTCTCGAACTCCTGACCTCAGGTGGTCCACCCGCCTTGGCCTCCTAAAGTGCTGGGATTACAGGCGTGAGCCACTGCACCTGGTCCCTTATATTCCTAGGTTACTAAGAATTTTTTAGGACTGATTGTTGCATCTATTGAAATAATTTTGTTTTTCTACGCTTATCTATTAATATAGTAAACTGCATTTGTAGTAGATTTCACACTTTTATGTCTCCCTACCTATTAATTTTTAATTGATTACTGGATTTGATTTGCTAATACATTATCTGGCATTTTAAATCAATGTTTATAATTTTCTTTTTAGTGTATCTTTGCCCAATTTTGCTATCAAGGTTATGCTAACCTTGTGGAATGAATTGAAATTCTTTCCACTTTTTCTTCTATTCTCTGGAGCAGTTGAATAACAAAAAAAGTGTGTTACCTATAACTTTTTGGAAGTTTCGATAGAATTTACCTATTAAACATGAAATTTGCTTGGAATATTTTGGGGAATAAATCTGACTATATTTCAATTTTTTCTTTTTTTCTTTTTTTTATTTTTTGAGATGAAGTCTCACTCTTGTCCCCCAGGCTGGAGTGCAATTGCACGATCTCGGCTCACTGCAACCTCTGCCTCCTGGGTTCAAGCAATTCTCCTGCCTCAGCCTCCTGAGTAGTTGGGATTACAGGCGCCTGCCACCATGCCCAGCTAATTTTTGTATTTTTAGTAGAGACAGGGTTTCACCATGTTGGCCAGGCTGCTCTCAAACTCCTGACCTCGTGATCCGCCTGCCCCAGCCTCCCAAAGTGCTGGGATTACAGGCGTGAATCACCGCGCCTGGCCACTCAATTTTTTCTATTTTTGATTAATTTATGTTTTCCAAACAAAATTGTTTCAAACTATCATCTGTATTTTCAAATGTATTATTAAACTTACAATTTCTTTTCCTTATTTACTTGATCTTTTAATTTTTTTTAAAGAATTTCATGTCTCTAGTTGTCATTGCCTTGTCAAATTCTATTATTTCCAATAGGGTTTACCTTATTATTTTAAAGCTATATTGCTCAATTCATAAAAAATTATATCTTAATTAATATCTTTTATTAATATAAGTATCTATTTTAGTCCCATTAATGCTTTTTGTTGTATCTACTGCAAGTCCTGCTTTCTTTACTTTTCCTTCTCTTTGTCCATCCTATATTTTCAGACCTGCTGTGAAATTTGTGTTTTGGATGTACTTCATGTAAAAAGCATAACTTTTTAAACGCAATGTAGGTTTCTTTGTATTTTAATAGAACTTGGTCTATTTAACTGTTTTATTTAGCCTATTTAAATTTTTAATGCTCCTCGATATGGCTGGTGTAATTTTTAATATCTTCATGTTTTCTATTTAGATATATGTCTTGTAAAAAGCTTATAACTTTTTAATGCAATCTGAGATTGTTTGTACTTTAATAGAACTTAATCTATTTAAAATTTTAATGATCCTTGATATGGCTGGTCTAATTTTTAATATCCTCATATTCTGTTTATCTTGCTTTTTATGGTTTGGCTTTTTTCCCCCTTCTGTGTTTTGCTGCTTTGATCTGATTTTCTTTATTCCTTTCCCCTCAACTTAGTAGTTCCACTCCCTCTTGCTATTCTACTGACTATATTAGTTTGACTTATTTTTTGTAGCTGCCCAGAAAACTCTGTTTACCAATTAAGTACTTAACAAATTATCTTGCTGAAAATGATAACTACAATAGCAATGACATCCACAAAACGATCGAAACCTTCTAAATCTGCTTCATTTCTCTGGCATCATCTAAAGTAGAATTGAAAGCTCATAGTTTCAAAATTCTCCAAGTTAACGTTCCCCTCTCGATTCTCTTGCTGCCCACTCACTTGAACTCTGCCGTCTTGCTTAACCTTTCTTCCCACACACTGCCCACAACATTCCATATTTGGATGCTTTTCTTTGAAATGAAATTCTCTCATTATCCATCTTATCACCTAGGTCACTCCAAAGCTGCGACAGTCTCTATCCACTCAGATTTAAAGGTAGAAAACATAAAAGTGGACTCAAAAATTCATTCATTCTACTATCGCATTTGAGATTAAGAAAAAAAAATTGCCTTCTGTGCCAATAGCGATCCTGCAAACATGGTGAATGTTCCTAAAACCCACAGGACTTTTTTTTTTTTTTTTTTTTTTGAGAGAGTCTCGCTCTGTTTTGTTTGTTTGTTTGCTTGTTTTTTGAGACAGGGTCTCACTCTGTCACCCAGGCTGGAGTGCAGTGGTGAGATCTAAGCTCACTGCAATGTCCACCTCCTGGGTTCAAGCGATTCTTCTGCCTCGGCCTCCTGAGGGGCTGAGATTGCAGGCACCCAACACCACGCCTGGCTAATTTTTGTATTTTTAGTAGAGACGGGGTTTCACCATGTTGTCCAGGCTGGTCTCAAACTCCTGACCTCAAATGATCTGCCCACCTTGGCCTCCCAAAGTGCTGGGATTACGGGTGTGAGCCACCATGCCTGGCCAACCCGCGGGACTTTCTGTAAGAAGTGTGGCAAACACCATCCCCACAAAGTGACACAGTACAAGAAGGACAAGGATTCTCTGTATGCCCAGGGTGAGTGGGTTATGACAGGAAGCCGAGTGGCTATAGTGGGCAGACTAAGCCGATTTTCCGGAAAAAGGCTAAAACTACAAAGAAGATTGTGCTAAGGCTTGAGTGCATTGAGCCCAACTGCAGATCTAAGAGAATGCTGGCTATTAAAAGATGCAAGCATTTTGAACTGGGAGGAGGTAAGAAGAGAAAGGGCCAAGTGATCCAGTTCTAAGTGTCATCTTTTGTTTTATTATGAAGACATAATAAAATCTTGAGTTTATGTTCAAAAAAGAAAAAGGAAAAAATTCATTCAACTAATATTGAACTTACTGAGCATGTACTATGGCCGGATACTGTTCTTGGTAGTGGGGGTATAACAGTGAACAAGATGGGAGTAGGGAGAGTACACAGATAATAACAAGTACATTAACACACAATTACATAATCTAATGTCAGGTGGTGACAGGTGCTAGGAGGAAAAATAAAGAAGAGAGAGGTGACAGGTGGTGAAGAGGGTGCTGTTTTAGATGCGGTGGTGAGGGAAGGCATATCTGAGGAGGGAACATTCAAGCAAAGCCCAGATATTTGCAAGGCCCTCGGATGGGAGGGGACTGGCCTGCTCAAGGAGCAGCAGGGACTCGAGGAGCAACAGGGAGGGCTGGGAGGCAAATTCAGGGGGAGTCAGACGCCAGGGCTGGGACTATCTGGGAGACCGTAGTAAAGATTTTGATTTTGATTTTTAATTTAATAAAAGTCATTGGAAGTCATTGGAAAGTTTTGTCCTGGGCAGTGCCATTCCCTGACTCATGCTCTGGAAAGATCACTCTGGCTGCTGTGCGTAGAGTTGTTTGCCAGGGCCTAAGTGGACACAGAAGAGCCAGTTAGGAGACAACTTCTGCAGAGAAGACGCGCGGCCTTGGTGGCTTAGACAGGCGGCCCCGGCGTGGGGGGGAGAAGTGGCGGGATACGGCAGACACACGTTTCCTGTTAGGCTGATGGCGTGGAGGTACAATGCGGGAGAAAGAATTAGGGATGGCTACAAAGGCTTTTACCCCAGTTAAAGGAGGATAGCATTTACTCAAGAAAGAAAAGGGGCAAGAAAAGCTGGCTGCATGAAAACTGAGTTGCCGCGTGCGTGGTTTGCATCTGCCCAAAGAGGGTGGTGACAGGAAAAGTCACAAAAGGCAGTGTGAAGGCATCTTCCGTTAGTGCACGACTAGCAACAGCCAGCTCACTCAGGTAAACATGAGGAAAACTAGAGAACCAGTCCCCAACCAACTCTGACTAGTTCCTGGGAGCTGGCCAGTAAATGAGGCTCTGCTACTCAAGACTAAGTTTGTGGTTTTCCTATGGCTTCTCTTAAAAATCAGTTTTATATGGGCCGTGTGTGGTGGCTCACACCTGTAATCCCAGCACTTTGGGAGGCCGAGGTGGGCAGATCATGAGGTCAGGAGTTGGAGGCCAGCCTGAGCAACATGGTGAAACGCCATCTCTACTAAAAATACAAAAACAATTAGCCGGGCGTGGTGGTGCGCGCCTGTAATCCCAGCTACTCAGGAGACTGAGGCAGGAGAATCGCTTGAACCCGGGAGGCAGAGGTTGTAGTGACCCGAGATCACACCACTGCCCTACAGCCTGGGTGACAGAGTGAGACTCTGTCTCAAAAAACAATAATAATAATTTTTATGTCCTTTGAATCAGCGTCTAACCGTACCACATTATTTTTTGTCTTAAAATTCCCCTCTTAGTAATGCAATTTTCCTTGGAGGTCAGTTAAAACTCATATGCTATCATATGCCTTGCAGCAGCTGCTGGACTCCCAGATGTCACGCGCCCACTCAGGACCTTCAGTCCAGGCTCCTATTTGCCCTCCCTTTTGGTGGTTTATCACAAACAAATATCCTGAAAATATTCTATTGCTGTCAAATCTAACAAAATTATTGATATAGCCAGCTTTGGGACTGTCACTTTCCAAAGACAATAAATCACTTACAATGTCATGGTCTAAATAAAACAGATTGGTTACTCACCGCATACACATAAATCTAAGCTGGCCAGGCACAGAGGCTCACACCTATAATCCCACCACCTTGGGAGGCCAAGGTGGGCGGATCACTTGAGGCCAGGAGTTCGAGACCAGCCTGCCCAACATGGCAAAACCCTGCCTCTACTAAAAATACAAAAAACGTTAGCTGGGTGTGGTGGTGCACATCTGTAGTCCCAGCTACTTGGGAGGCTAAGGCACGAGAATCGCCTGAACCCAGGAGCGGGAGGTTGCAATGAGCCGAGAATGCGCCACTGCACTCCAGCCTGGGCAACAGAGAGAGAGTCTGTCTCAAAATAAGTGAACACATAAATAAATAAATCTAATATTGATTCCTTCAGGTTTCACTTAATGAGCCATGCAAGAGGATCATATTTTAAATGAATTGTAATGTGAGTTATTCACATGGTTTTAAAAATACGCTCTTGTTACATACAAACAATCTGCGTAGGACGCGTCTCCTTTTGCCTGGACAAGATATAAGCTGTTAACTTTGGGATTCGCAGAAGAACTCTTTGGCACAAGGCAGAGGCCACTCGTTATTACCGAACTAAAGGGTTTCCAAAGGCCAGCCGCAGGTAGGCGGTGTGCAGTACCATGAACTGCCCTAGTTAAAAGTTTGTATAAATTAATAGGAAAAACACTAAAACTCAAGAGAAAAATGGGCCCAGTGTGTAAACAGGTAATTCCAAGAAAGTACACAAGTAACTTTAAAAACCATTAAAAGTGGTCAGCTGGGCCGAGCATGGTGGCTCATGCCCGTAATCTCAGCCCTTTGAGAGGCTGAGGTGGGAGGATTGCTTGAGCTTGAGCCCAGGAGTTCAAGATCAGCAAACATGGTGAAACTCTGTCTCTACAAAAAATAAAAAATTAGCCGGGCATGGTGGTACACGCCTGTAGTCCTAGCTACTTGGGAGGCTGAGGCAGGAGAATTGCTTGACCCTAGGAGGTCAAGGCTGCAGTGAGCCATGATTGTGCCACTGCACTCCAGCTTGGGTGACAGAGCGAGACCCTGTCTCAAAAAAACAAAAATAAAATATAAATAAAATACAAATGGTCAGCCAAAGTGATAACCCAGAAATGTAAACTAAAACAATATGAAACAGCATTTTAGGCATTCTAATTAAAGACAATAATAATAATTTTGGGGAGAGTAGAATTCAATTTTCATACACAGTGGCAGGGGAGTAAATCAGTACAAATGTGAAAAGCACTTTGGAAATCCTTAAAATCCAAACCATTTGATCTAGAAATTCCCCTTCTGGGAATCTATTTTAAGGAAAGTTTTAAGCAATAGAAAATTTTGTATTAAAAAAGACCATCAAGTTATTTCTAATAGCAAATATAACTGAAGACAACTTTACTACTTAACAATAGGAAACTGGATAAAGAAGTTACAGTCCTGTGTATCCATATAATCAAATATGATGCTGCCATTTAAAGTGACGTCTCTGAGCCATTTTGCTTTTGACAAACTCTTTCAAAACTTAGCTCTCCAACTTTCCGACATCTACCTAACACCTAGATTTCCTGTCTCTAGATGTACCGTGATAAATTCAGACTTTCTCCTGCTGCAGACATTTAGGTTATTTCCAAGGTTTTTTCCCTTTTAAAAGCACTCAAGCAAGCATTTATGTGAATATTCAGACGTACACTAAAGACCAAGAAACATCTTGAAAGACAGTTTCGCTGGGCACGGTGGCTCACGCCTGTAATCCCAGCACTTTGGGAGGCCAAGGCGGGCGGATCACGAGATCAGGAGTTCGAGACCAGCCTGGTCAACATAATGAAACCCCGTCTCTACTAAAAATACAAAAATTAGCCAGGCATGGCGGTATGTGCCTGTAGTCCCAGCTACTCGGGAGGCTGAGGCAGGAGAATTGCTTGAACCCGGGAGGCAGAGGTTGCAGTGAGCCGAGATCATGCCACTGCACTCCAGCTTGGGCGACAGACTCAGACTTTGTCTCAAAAAAAAAAAAAAAAAAAAAAAAGCCGGGCGCATTGGCTCACGCCTGTAATCCCAGCACTTTGTGAGGCTGAGGCAGGCGGATCACGAGGTCAAGAGATGGAGACCGTGCTGGCTAACATGGTGAAACCCCACCTCTACTAAAAATACAAAAATTAGCTGGGCGTGGTGGTGTGTGCCTGTAATAATCCCAGCTACTCGGGAAGCTGAGGCAGGAGAATGGCTTGAACCCGGGAGGCAGAAGTTGCAGTGGGCCAAGATCGCACCACTGCACTCCAGCCTGGTGACAGAGTGAGACTCCATCTCAAAAAAACAAAAACAAAACAAAAGAAAGACACCTTCAGAGCAATTCTGGTCTGGGGACCTTGTTGAGAGTGGCTGGGTCCCCAGGCCAGTCCCACAAGCCCACTGAGAGCTGCAGCTGCACAGGTCTTTCCAGAACTGGAAGCAATATTCACAGCCACACTCATTATCACAACTCCCAGGACTTCAAATTTGTATCAAAATTTTCATGTTTATCTTCCCTAAAGTCTCCATAAACAAATCCAGAAACTGCTCAGGGACAAACTTATTTGCTCCTGGGAAGAGAAATCCCTCCCAGGCATGTGCAGGCCGGCCTGCCACAGGGGACAAGGAGCTAACGGAAGTTTTGTCCAGGAGTAACGAACGCCCACGTCTAGTTGAAGATGCAAAGGAAAACAGACAGACAAACATGATTACCCAGCGTGGGCCCTGGGCAGGACACCACAGTGACTGCCTCATAGCCACCTACATACTTTTTGGTTGGTTTGTTTCTTGTTGTGGCCAATTGTTCTGCCCCACCCTCCACCACTGTCACTAATTCAAACCAGGAGGGCCACGGAGGGAGGTGACAACGGAGAGGGAGTAGGCTGGGTTTGGTTGTGTTCTTTTTTTGTTTTGAGACAGAGTCTCACCCTGTGTCCAGGCTAGAGTGTAGTGGTGCCATCTCGGCTCACTGCAACCTCTGCCTCCTGGGTTCAAGCAATTCTCCCGTCTCACCCTCCCAAGTAGCTGGGATTATAGGCACGCTCCATCATGCCCAGTTAATTTTTGTATTTTTAGTAGAGACGAGGTTTTGCCATGTGGCCAAGATGGTCTCGAAATCCTGACCTCAAATAATCCACCGGCCTGGGCCTCCCAAAGTGCTGGGATTACAGGTGTGAGCCACTGCACCCAGCCAGTTTTATTTTGTTCTGTTTTGATAGCAGAACTCCCTGTTACAACAGGAGCCTAAAGCAGCAATCTATTAGTTAGACTCTGGGGGCAAGTAATAACCACCAGCTCAGTGAAAGACCGCCTAGAATCCATTCACTGGCTTGGAGGCAGGAGGTGGGGTGAGAGTTTAGCATGAGGACAGCTGGCTCCTTCTCACATGTGACAGTCTTGTGAGCCTATTATGGGGTCTTCAAGCTCCATCAGGCAGAAGGGGGGCAGCTTCTGCTGGAAGGGGCACTCTGTGGGTTGGGGATACAGCAAGCTCCAGGTCATCCAGATCTTTCCGCATGGCCCCATCCAAGCCACTGGACCCTGTGGAGTCCTCCTTATGGGAGTCCTCCTGTTCACAAAATAGTGCATAGCCTGTCACAGACTGTAAACAGTACCCAGTGGCCAAAGCTGCATAGACCGGCAGCCGCACACTGCCATTGTTGGAGATTCCCATTCAGAAGAGTCAGAAATTCCCCAGTTCTTTGAAAACATCTTAAGCCAAAACTTAAGACTTATTGTCTCCAGTGTTGTTGTTGTTGTTGTCGTTTTCTGAGACGGAGTTTTGCTCTTGTCACCCAGGCTGGAGTGCAATGGCACAATCTTGGCTCACTGCAACCTCCACCTCCTAGGTTCAAGTGATTCTCCTGCTTCAGCCTCCCAAGTAGCTGGGATTACAGGCACCCGCCACCACACCTGGCTAACTTTGTATTTTTAGTAGAGATGGGGTTTCACCACGTTGGTCAGGCTGGTCTCCAGCTCCTGACCTCAGGTGATCTACCTGCCTCAGCTTCCCAAATTGCTGGGATTACAGGTGTGAGCCAACATGCCTGGCCAATTTTTTTTTTTTTTTTTTCCTGAGACAGAGTCTCACTATGTCGCCCTGGAGTGCAGTGGTCTGATCCTGCCTCACTACAACCTCCGCCTCCTGGGGTTCAAGTGATTCTCCTGCCTCAGCCACCTGAGTAGCTGGGATTCCAGGCACCTGCCACCACATCCAGGTAATTTTTATATTTTTAGTAGAGACGGGGTTTCACCATGTTGTCCAGGCTGGTCTCAAACTCCTCACCTCAAGTCATCTGCCTGCCTTGGCCTCCCAAAGTGCTGGGATTACAGGTGTGAGCCACCACAACTGGCATCCAGTGTAGTTATTTATTTATTTATTTATTTATTTATCCAAGGTCAGGTCCAGGGTAATGTGCCAACATCGTAACAAGGTTCAGAGGGTGGCACATCCCACACGTGCACGTGAACACCCAGTCATCGTGCTCGGGAACTACAGGGGCCTCCAGTGTATCTAAATGCAGCCAAACAACGCGCCAAGTTTAACCTTCTTGTTTCCATCCCATTCCATGGCTGTCCCCTTTCATTCCGCACAAAGCCTTGCCTTCAATGGATGTGACAGTCCAGGTCACGACAAAGTCCTCACTGAAGTGACACTTTTGCCCCTGGTGCTCACCCTTCTACACGAAATGCATTCTCTCTGTGTTCAGACCCACTCATTTCAGATAACAAACTTCATATCCCGCTTTTCCTGAAGGTCTGTTGCTTGGGACCACTCCTGGTACCAATGTGTAAGGGTCAGGATTTTTAGTTACCAAAAACAAAACTCAGAACAGAATTCACCATGGCTAATTTAAGCAGAAAAAGACAGACACACAAAAGATTTGCTAAAGATCTCAGGTTGGCCGGGCGCGGTGGCTCATGCCTGTAATCCCAGCACTTTGGGAGGCCGAGGCGGGTGGATCACGAGGTCAGGAGATTGAGACCATCCTGACTAACATGGTGAAACCCCGTCTCTACTAAATGTACAAAAAATTAGCCGGGCGTGATGGCGGGCGCCTGTAGTCCCAGCTACTTGGGAGGCTGAGGCAGGAGAATGGTGTGAACCCGCAAGATGGAGCTTGCAGTGAGCCGAGATCACTGCACTCCAGCCTGGGCAACAGAGCGAGACTCCGTCTCAAAAAAAAAAAAAAAAAAAAGACCTCAGGTAACTCACAAGCTCAACCCCCCTTGAGAGGGGTCGGAAGAAAGGCGTTGAGGCTGAGCTTCCTGTGGCAACTCTCAGGACCATGGCCACAGCCACAGCCACAGCCTATCCCGAGACCTGAACCCAGGGGCGTGACTTTCCTGCAAGCATAGCTGAACCCAACATGGGCCCTCAGAGACTCACTCTTGCCACTGCTGCTGCCCCCAGCAGCCAGGTGTCACCACCACTAGCAGTACCAGCAGAGCAGGATCTGTGCACAGAGCCTCTCCCGTCAACCAGTCCCTGTCACGCGAAAGCTTAACACAGGTGCATCCGAGGGGTGTGAGCTGGGAAGCGTGTCCATGTCTCCTGGCAGAGAGGCTAGGAGTCTCTAGGAGTCTGAGTTCACACTTCTTTTTTTTTTCCAGAAGGTGTCTTGCTCTGTCACCCAGGCTGGAGTGCAGTGGCACAATCTCGGCTCACTGCAACCTCTGCCTCCTGGTTTCAAGTGATTCTCCTGCCTCAGCCTCCCAAGTAGCTAGGATTACAGGCATGCACCACCATGCCCAGCTAATATTTGTATTTTTAGTAGGACGGGGTTTCACGATGCTGGCCAGGCTGGTCTTGAACTCCTGATCTCAAGTGATCATCCTGCCTTGGCCTCCCAAAGTGCTGGGATTACAGGCGTGAGCCACTGCACCCAGCCGTGAATTCACACTTCTTGGTAGGGAAGGCAGAGTTCATAACATGGAAATTTAACTGGAGAAAGGTACCCAGAGGGTGATGGGAAACCTCAGTGGGACAAAGGCCCACTCACATGATGGAGCTGAAATGGTCATGTTAGCCTATTGGGTCTAGTTGTGGTCAGGTCTTGTCATTCCTTAGAAGACAGCATGTGGGAAGGGGGTACCTCAGGGTTTCTGCGTCTCCCCAGCAGTGCATTGTGAGAGTTCTGTGTCTGAGACAATTCATCTGTACCTGAGAAATCTTACCTAGCACATCTTAAAGTCCCAGAGTTCTAATACCGTATATTTCTTTTCATGTAAATCCATGATACCGCAGCCGGGCGCGGTGGCTCAAGCTTGTAATCATAGCACTTTGGGAGGTCGAGCCAGGTGGGTGGATCACCTGAGGTCAGGAGTTCAAGACGAGCCTGGCCAACATGGCGAAACCCCGTCTCTACTAAAAATACAAAAATTAGCCAGGCGTGGTGGTGCATGCCTGTAGTCCCAGCTACTTGGGGGGCTGAAGCAGGAGAATTGCTTGAACCCAGGAGGCGGAGGTTGCAGTGAGCTGAGATTGCACCACTGCACTCCAGCCTAGGCAACATGAGACTCTGTCTCAAAAAAAAAAAAAAAAAAAAATCCATAATATTGCAATTGTGATTGGAAGAAACATTATCCTAGCCAGGCACAGTGGCTCACACTGGTAATCCCAGCACTGTGGGAGGCTGAGGCAGGTGGATCATTTGAGCTCAGAAATTCAAGACCAGCCTGGGCAACATGGCAAAACCCCATCTCCACAAAAATTACAACAAAAAATCAGCTGAATATGGTGGCACGCACCTGTAGTCCTAGCTACTCAGAAGGCTGAGGTGGGAGGATCAACTGAACCAGGAGGTTGAGGCTGCAGTGAGCGGTGATTGCACCACGGCACTCCAGCCTACGCAACAGAGGGAGACCCTGTCTCAAAAAAAGAGAAGAAGAAATAAAGAAGCATCAACCCACTATTTGCACTGGTCACTGTCCCTGGAACTGTCCAAAGCAGGCCCTGACCTTCCCTGTAGGAGTTTGAGTAACAGCAATAGTTCCTAGCTAGGAACACTTGGGAAATATGTAAATATGTAAGGCAGCCGGGCGCGGTGGCTCATGCCTGTAAGCCCAGCACTTTGGGAGGCCAAGGCGGGTGGATCATTTGAGGTCAGGAGTCCAAGACCAGCCTGACCAACATGGTGAAGCCCCGTCTCTACTAAAAATACAAAAATTAGCTGGGTGTGGTGGTGGGCACCTGTAATCCCAGCTACTCAGGAGGCTGAGGCAGGAGAATCGCTTGAACCTGGGAGGCAGAAGTTTCAGTGAGCTGAGATCGCGCCACTGCACTCCAGCCTGTGTGATGGAATAAGACTCCATCTCAAAAAAAAAAAAAAAAAAATCTCCCGCCATACCACCCTGAATGCACCCGATCTAGTCTGATCTGGGAAGCTAAGCAGGGTCAGGCCTGGTTAGTACGTGGATGGGAGACTGCCTGGGAATACTGGGTGCTGTAGGTGTGGCCTGGCACGGTGGCTCACACCTGTAAATCCCAGCACTTTGGGAAGCCAAGGCAGGTGAATCACCTGAGGTCAGGAGTTTGAGACCAGCCTGGCCAACATGGTGAAACCCTGTCTCTACTAAAAATACAAAATTTAGCCGGGCGTCGTGGCAGGCGCCTGTAATCCCAGCTATTCTGAAAGAAAAAAAAAGAAAAAGAAAAGAAAAGTAAGGCAAATGAACCAGTCCATCATTAGCATCACCTTCCCGGAGCATTTAGTCACGGGAGTTTCTGTTGATGGGGCATCAGAGGTCATGATAACGATGGGAGGAACAACCTGGAACACTGAGCCAGGCCGTTTTCCTAGAGACCCACAGCCGGGATTCCACGTGTAGGTGTACAACAAATGCGCCAACATGACATTAGAGTTTCTGGGAAGCATGAAAGGGATGAGAGAGATGAATGCATGAACTCACAGAGGCAAGGGACATTCAATGGCAGGGGTCAGTTTGGTGAGGATCCAGAGCCACTGAGCAGCCACTGAGAAACCTTCACCGGAGAAGAGTGGAAAACTAAACCTCCAGATCCCCGTCCAAGCAACCATACCCTAAAATCGCTCCGGGCTCTCTCAGTACACTCACAGATTACCAGTGACATGAATGTTAATATTTTATGGCCCTAACTTGCACTTCTAAAAGTTCTAATTAATCTCACTAGATAAAAGCTGGCAAGCATGCTGGTACAAAGGAGAATCGCACCCTCCTCGCAATGTCTGTGTGCCAACTCATCTGGGATCCTGCAATGATTTGCCCTGTCTCGGCTCCATAAAGGGGCCAGTAATTAGCATCTGGAAGCTAAGCCACACTTCCCCACTGGCTGCCATTTGCTGATTGTTAATTAATTAACTGATTGATTAGCAGCTTCCTGTAGCACTGGCTAGTAAAGGCCCCTTCAAGGAGTTCTCCTCAGTTCTCCCCTCTCCCCACCTCCTCACACCCTGGCAGGAGAAGGATTTCCATAACACCCTTGAAAGCAGGGCTACATCTTGGACATTGTTTCTGTAGCTTGCACGGCGCCTCGCACACAGAAAATATTTACAGAGTAAAGGGATGGAAGATTGGTGGATAGATTGATAGACATGAAAATGTATGATATACTTCCTATTGTTCTCTCACGTTATAAAATTTTTTTCTGAACTTTAGATCAGAAGAGAACTTAAATATTATCCAACCTAATTTCATTTTAAGGATAAGGAAACAGGCCAGGTACGTGGCTCATGCCCGTAGTCTCAGCACTTTGAGAGGCCAAGGCAGGTGGATCACTTGAGGCCAGGAGTTGGAGACCAGCCTGGTCAATAATGGCGAAACTCTGTCTCTACTAAAAATACAAAAAAAAACTAGCCAGGCGTGGTGGCAGGCACCTGTAATCCCAGCTACTTGGGAGGCTGAGACAGCAGAATTGCTTGAACCCAGGAGGCAGAGGTTGCAGTAAGCTGAGATCATGCCACTGCACTCCAGCCTGGGTGACAGAGCAAGACTCTGTCTCAAAAAATAAATAAAGAGGGAAAAAAATATAAGGAAACAGGCCCACAAAGGTTCAAAGGATGTATACATATGCTCAGCTACTAAGAACATAGACTAGGCCGGGCACCGTGGTTCATGCCTATAATCCCAACACTTTGGGAGGCCAAAACAGGCAGATCACCTGAAGTCAGGAGTTTGAGACCAGCCTGGCCAACATGGCGAAACAAAAATACAAAAATTAGCTGGGTGTGGTGGCGTGTGCCTGTAATCCCAGCTACTTGGGAGGCTGAGGCAAGAGAATTGCTTAAACCCAGGAGGCGGAGGTTGCAGTGAGCTGAGATGGCACCACTGCACTCCAGCCTGGGCAACAGAACAAGACTCTGTCACAAAAAGAAAAAAATTCACTCTTTGAGGAGGACGCAGTCGTAGGTGGTGAGGAGCTCGGATCCACCCGCTCCCGCTCCTCACTCACCGCTGTTTACTCTTGCCCAGGAACAAGTTGGTCAGGAAGCCACGCAGGAGCCAAGGCTTTTAAAGATACTGTAAAATCACCCGTGGAGCTGAGGTGGCAATTCACCGAATTCGAACCACTCTAACCAGCCGCAAGGTAAAATCCCTGGAGAAGGTGTGTGCCCACTTGATCAGAGGGACAAAAGAAAAGAATCTCAAAGTGAAAGGACCAACTGGAATGCCTACCAAGACTTTGAGAACCACTACAAGAGAAACTCCTTTTGGTGAAGGTTCTAAGACATGGAATCGTTTCCAGATGAGAATCCACAAGCAACTCACTGACTCGCGCAGTCCTTCTGAGATTGCTAAGCAGATGACTCCATCGGTATTGAGCCAGGAGTTGAGGTGGAAGTCATCATTGCAGATGCTTAAGTCGACTGTCTTAATAAATTGATTATCAGTTGTTAAAAAAATTAAATTAAAATCAGCTTATTCAGGTTTCCTAGAAGATTACATGGATGACAAAATTTAATCTATGGCCCAAATGAGGGAACTGGAGTTAGGAACATCTATTTTTGCTTTCCATGTTATTTGATTATCTGAAATGTATACAGAAGATGTTCCTGTCCTTTTTTTTTTGGAGGGGGGGGATGGGGTCTTGCTCTGTCACCCAGGCTGGAGTGTAGTGGTGCAATCTCAGCTCACTGCAACAACGTTCACTTCCCAGCCTCAAGTGATCCTCCCACCTCAGCCTCCCAAGTAGCTGAGATTACAGGTGCACACCACCATGTCCGGCAAATTATTATTTTTTATTTTTTATAGAGATGGGGTTTTTCCATGTTGCCCAGGCTGGTCTCAAACTCCTGGGCTCAAGCAATCCACCCACCTTAGCTTCCCAAAGTGCTGAGATTACAGGCATGAGCCACTGCGCCCAGCCAGATGTTACTATCTCGTTTAACAAATAATGAAACCAGCCGGCTGGGCGCAGTGGCTCACGCCTGTAATCCCAGCACCTTGGGAGGCCGAGGCAGGCAGATCACCTGAGATCGGGAGTTCAAGACCAGCCTGACCAACATGGAGAAGCCCTGTCTCTGCATGGTGGTGGTGCATGCCTATAACTCAGGAGGCTAATGCAGGAGAATCACTTGAACCCGGGAAGTGGAGGTTGCAGTGAGCCAAGATCGCATCATTGCTTTCCACCCCGGGCAATGAGAGCAAAACTGTCGAAAAACAAAAACACAATAACGAAACTGAACTCTGGAAATTAAAATAAATTCATCATGAAATCAGTGGATTGGAGTTGGATGGTTAGAATGGGAAAGGACCTTAGAAAGTATCTATCCAGGCTGGTCATGATGGCTTACACCTGTAATCCCAATAGTTTGGGAGGCTGAGGCAGGAGGATTGCTTGAGGCCAAGAGTTCAAGACCAGACTGGACAACATAGGGAGACCCTATCTCTACAAAAAAAAAAAAAAAAAATAGCCAGTGTGGTGGCAAGCACCTGTTATCCCAGCTACTTGGGAGGCTGTGGTAGGAGGATAGGTTGGGCCCAGGAGGCGGAGGCTGCACTGAGTCATGGTTGCACCACTGCACACCAGCCTGGGTGACAACAGAACAAATCCCTTTCTCTCTCTCTCAAAAAAAAAAGTATCGGCCGCGCACGGTGGCTCACACCTATAATCCCAGTATTTTGGGAGGCCGAGGCGGGCAGATTGTCTTAGCTCAGGAGTTCGAGACCAGCCTGGGCAACATAGTGAAACCCCATCTCTACTAAAATACAAAAAATCAGCTGGGCATGGCAGCATGCACCTGTAGTCCCAGCTACTCAGGAGGCTGAGGCAGGAGAATTGCTTGAACACAGGGGAGAGGTGGGGGTTGGTTGCAGTGAGCCAAGATCATACCACTGTACTCCAGCCTGGGCAACAGAGCAAGACTCCATCTCAAAAGAAAAAATAAAAAAGTATCTATCCAAATACCTCTTTTTGAAAATGAGAAAACAATTTTTTTTTTTTTTTTGAACAGAGTTTTGCTCTTGTCGCCCAGGCTGGAGTGCAATGGCACAATCTCAGCTCACTGCAACCTCTGCCTCCCGGGTTCAAGCGATTCTCCCACCTCAGCCTCCCCAGTAGCTGAGATTACAGGCGCCCACCACCACACCCAGCTAATTTTTGTATTTTTAGTAGAGACAGGGTTTTACCATGTTGGCCAGGCTGGTCTCGAACTCCTGACCTCAGGTGATCCTCCCACCTCAGCCTCCCAAAGTGCTGGGATTACAGGTGTGAGCCACCACGCCCAGCCGAGAACACAATTTTCAGTCCTCTCTTTAATCTTAACTCTAAAATAACTCTTCTCTGGATATCGTCATTTTTGCCATCTACAATAAATGACCTTGTGTGTCATTAGCAACTAACCAACCTAACAACACTTAGAATAAACAAAGCCTGTACTGAGAATTTTCATCATTCCTATGTCACCCAGGCTGGAATGCAGTGGTGCAATCTTAGCTCACTGTAACCTCAAATTCCTGGGCTCATGTGATCCTCCCACCTCAAGTCTCCCAAGGCGCTGGGATTTCACTGCGTCCAGCCAAAAGATAATTTTAAAGGTAAAATTATAATTGCTCTGCAAATATAAAAGGTACTCATGTCAGAGACTTCATTTAGCTCATTATCTAATGGGGAACCAGTAAAATGTTACAACTAATTCAAAAGAAATTCAAACAACAAGCAATAATGTAAAATGATTTTACGATATATGCAAGATAGATCAATCCACAGGGCAAAAATAAATTGTGTTCCACCAGACACAATTAGTTTGCACTTCTACGGACAAGAATCAATTTTCTAAAAGTCACAGAGTTGTAAAGCATCCCAAAGACAAAGACAGGCTGAGATAGCTTAGGAGCTGAGCTAGACAGGATATACTTTCTAATCCTTTCAGTCCATACACAATTTTTTTCCAAGCTAGTAAGAATTAATTCTTGAATTCCATAAAATATTGAAGAAATACCTAATAGTAAATCTACACAAACTCTTCCAGAGAATTGAAAAGTAGGGACCACTTCCCATTCCCTCATTCTATGAGGCAAGTATTACTCTGTTACCAAAACCAGATAAAGACATTAAAAGAAGACCAATATTCCTCATGAACATAGATGTAAAAGCTCTCAACTAATTAAATACACCAATATGTAAAAAAGATAAGACATCATGACCAAGTGAGGTTTATCCCATAAATGCAAAGTTGGTTTAACATTTGCAAATCAATCAACGTAGTTAATTCTATTCATAGACTCAAGAAAAACATTATCTCAATAGACATAGAAAAAGCATTTGACAAAATCCAGTATCCATTCCTAACAAACTCTCAGTAAACTAAGAATAGAAGGGTGCTTCCTCAACCTGAAAAGGGCATCTATGAAAAACATACAACTGTCATCATACTTCACAGTAAGAGAGTGAATGCTTTCCCACTGAGGTCAGGAACAAGGCAAGGATGCCCACTCTCACCACTTCTATTCAACAGTGCCCTGGATGCTCCAATGGAGCAATAAGGCCTAAAAAATAAATCAATAAATAAAAGTAAGGAAGTCATAAAACAAGGGAAAAAGTAAAACTATCTCTACTCACAGATAACATAATCAGCTGTGTGGAAAATCTGATGAATCTACAAAAAGGCTAATTAGCAAGAGTGGAGGATTCAATATCAGTATACAAAAACAACTATTTCTACATTCAAACAATGAACAATTGGAATTTGAAATTTTAAAAATAACATAATAGAATTAAAACATGTGGGGTCTCCCTCTGATGCCGAGCCGAGGCTGGACGGTACTGCTGCCATCTCGGCTCACTGCAGCCTCCCTGCCTGATTCTCCTGCCTCAGCCTGCCGAGTGCCTGCGATTGCGGGCGCGCGCCGCCACGCCTGACTGGTTTTCGTTTTTTTTTGGTGGAGACGGGGTTTCGCTGTGTTGGCCGGGCTGGTCTCCAGCTCCTAGCCGCGAGTGATCCGCCGGCCTCGGCCTCCCGAGGTGCCGGGATTGCGGATGGAGTCTCGTTCACTCAGTGCTCAATGGTGCCCAGGCTGGAGTGCAGTGGCGTGATCTTGGCTCGCTGCAACCACCTCCCAGCCACCTGCCTTGGCCTCCCGGAGAGCCGAGATTGCAGCCTCTGCCCGGCCGCCACCCCGTCTGGGAAGTGAGGAGCGTCTCTGCTTGGCCACCCATCGTCTGGGATGTGAGGAGCCCCTCTGCCTGGCTGCCCAGTCTGGAAAGTGAGGAGCGTCTCTGCCCGGCCGCCATCCCATCTGGGAAGCGAGGAGCGCCTCTTCCCCGCCGCCATCCCATCTAGGAAGTGAGGAGCGTCTCTGCCCGGCCGCCCATCGTTTGAGATGTGGGGAGCACCTCTGCCCCGCCGCCCTGTCTGGGATGTGAGGAGCGCCTCTGCTGGGCCGCAGCCCTGTCTGGGAGGTGGGGAGCGTCTCTGCCCGGCCGCTCCGTCTGAGAAGTGAGGAAACCCTCTGCCTGGCAACCGCCCCGTCTGAGAAGTGAGGAGCCCCTCCGTCCGGCAACCACCCCGTCTGGGAAGTGAGGAGCGTCTCCGCCCAGCAGCCACCCCGTCCGGGAGGGAGGTGGGGGGGGTCAGCCCCCCGCCCGGCCAGCCGCCCCGTCCGGGAGGTGAGGGGCTCCTCTGCCCGGCCGCCCCTACTGGGAAGTGAGGAGCCCCTCTGCCTGGCCAGGCGCCCCATCCGGGAGGGAGGCGGCGGGGGGGTCGGCCAGCCGCCCCGTCCGGGAGGGAGGTGGGGGGGTCAGCCCCCCGCCCGGCCAGCCGCCCCGTCCGGGAGGTGAGGGGCTCCTCTGCCCGGCCGCCCCTACTGGGAAGTGAGGAGCCCCTCTGCCCGGCCAGACGCCCCGTCCAGGAGGGAGGTGGGGGGGTCAGCCCCCCGCCCGGCCAGCCGCCCAGTCCGGGAGGGAGGTGGGGGGTCAGCCCCCCGCCCGGCCAGCCGCCCCGTCTGGGAGGGAGGTGGGGGGATCAGCCCCCCGCCTGGCCAGCCGCCCCATCCGGGAGGTGAGGGGCGCCTCTGCCCGGCCGCCCCTACTGGGAAGTGAGGAGCCCCTCTGCCCGGCCAGCCGCCCCGCCCGGGAGGGAGGTGGGGGGGTCATCCCCCCACCTGGCCAGCCGCCCCATCTGGGAGGGAGGTGGGGGGGTCAGCCCCCCGCCCGGCCAGCCGCCCCGTCCGGGAGGGAGGTGGGGGGGGTCAGCCCCCCGCCTGGCCAGCCGCCCCGTCCGGGAGGGAGGTGGGGGGATCAGCCCCCCGCCCGGCCAGCCGCCCCGTCCGGGAGGTGAGGGGCGCCTCTGCCCGGCCGCCCCTACTGGAAAGTGAGGAGCCCCTCTGCCCGGCCAGCCACCCCGTCCGGGAGGGAGGCGGGGGGGGGGGGGGTTCGGCCCAGCCGCCCCTTCCGGGAGGAGGTGGGGGGGGTCAGCCCCCCTTCCGGCCGGCCGCCCCGTCCGGGAGGTGAGGGGCGCCTCTGCCCGGCCGCCCCTACTGGGAAGTGAGGACCCCTCTGCCCGGCCAGCCGCCCCGTCCGGGAGGGAGGTGGGGGGGACAGCCCCCCGCCCAGCCAGCCGCCCTATCCAGGAGGTGAGGGGCGCCTCTGCCCGGCCGTCCCTACTGGGAAGTGAGGAGCCCCTCTGCCTGGCCAGCCGCCCCGTCCGGGAGGGTGGTGGGGGGGTCAGCTCCCCGCCCGGCCAGCCGCCCCATCCGGGAGGTGAGGGGCGCTTCTGCCCGGCCGCCCCTACTGGGAAGTGAGGAGCCCCTCTGCCCGGCCACGACCCCGTCTGGGAGGTGTGCCCAGCGGCTCATTGGGGATGGGCCATGATGACAATGGCGGTTTTGTGGAATAGAAAGGCGGGAAGGGTGGGGAAAAAATTGAGAAATCGGATGGTTGCCGGGTCTCTGTGGATAGAAGTAGACATGGGAGACTTTTCATTTTGTTCTGTACTAAGAAAAATTCTTCTGCCTTGGGATCCTGTTGATCTGTGACCTTATCCCCAACCCTGTGCTCTCTGAAACATGTGCTGTGAACACTCAGGGTTAAATGGATTAAGGGCGGTGCAAGATGTGCTTTGTTAAACAGATGCTTGAAGGCAGCATGCTCGTTAAGAGTCATCACCACTCCCTAATCTTAAGTACCCAGGGACACAAACACTGCGGAAGGCCAAGGCCGCAGGGTCCTCTGCCTAGGAAAACCAGAGACCTTTGTTCACTTGTTTATCTGCTGACCTTCCCTCCACTATTGTCCTATGACCCTGCCAAATCCCCCTCTGCGAGAAACACCCAAGAATGATCAATAAAAAAAAAAAAAATAAATTAAAAAAAAAAATAAATAAATAAAAAATAAAACATGTGAAACACTTAGGCATAAATCTGACAAAGGATGAACAAAGGATATACACTGAAAACTAATAGAACATTGCTGCAAGAAATCAAAGGCCTAAATAAATGGAGAAATATATATATTTTTTATTCAGTTTTTTATTTTTATTTTTTCCTTTATTTTTGTAGAGACAGTGTTGCCTAGGCTGGTCTCGAACTCCTGGCCTCCAGTGATCCTCCTGCCTCAGCCTCCCAAAGTGCTGGGATTACAGGTATGAGCCACCATGCCCAGACAAGAAATATATTTATTCATCAATTAGAAGACTCAATGGCCAGGCACAGTGGCTCATGCCTGTAATCCTAGCACTTTGGGAGGGTGACGTGGGTGGATCACCCAAGGTCAGGAGTTCAAGACCAGCCTGGCCAATATAGTGAAACCCCATCTCTATTAAAAATATAAAAATCAGCCGGGCATGGTGGCATGTGCCTATAATCCCAGCTACTCAGGAGGCTGAGGCAGAAGAATGGCTTGAACCCAAGAGGCGGAGGTTGCAGTGAGCCCAGATTGTGCCATTGCACTCCAGCCTGGGTGACAGAGCAAGACTCTGTCCCAAAAAAAAAAAAAAAAAAAAAAGACTCAATATTTCTAGATCCCACACAATCCCACTTAAATTTTCAGCAGTCTTTTTTTTGTAGAAATTGACAAGCCGATTTTAAAATTCATATGGAAATGCAAAGGACAAGACTTACTACAAAGCTTCAGTAATCAAAGCAATGTGATAGTGGTTTAAAAACACACAAACAGATCAATAGAACAGAATAAAAGTGCAGCAATAGACCCATATATATATATGGACATCAATTGATTTTCAAGAGATATGCAAAGGCAGCTAAGGGAAAGGATCATCTTTTCAACAGATGGTGCTGGAATACTTAGATATCCACGTGCAAAAAATTATTTAAGGCTTGGCACAGTGGCTCATGCTTGTAATCTCAATACTTTGGGAGGCCAAGGTAGGCAGATTGTCTGAGCTCAGGAGTTTGAGACCAGCCAGGGCAATATGGCCAAACTCTAACTACAAAAAAAAAAAAATTATTTTAATAATTTAAATCCCTGCCTCACATCATACACAAAAATTAACTCTAAATGTAAAACCTAAAACTATAAAACTTCTAAAAGAAAATATATTGATCTTAAGGCAAAGATTTCTTAGAAAACCAAAGCTACAATCCATAAATGAAAAAAAATTATAAGTTGTACTTCAAAAAAGTTAACAATTTTTGCCCTTCAAAAGGGATATTAGAGAATGAGGGCCAAGCATGGTGGCTCACACTTGTAATCCCAGCATTGTGGGAGGCCGAGGCAGGTGGATCATTTGAGCTCAGGGCCACCCTGGGCAACATGGTGAAACCCAGTCTCTACAAAAAATACAAAAAATTAGCCAGGTGTGGCGGCGCATGCCTGTGGTCCCAAGTACTCAGGAGGCTGAGGTGGGAGGATTGCTTAACTCCAGGGGGCAGGGGTTGCAGTGAGCTGAGATCATTCTACTGCACTCCAGCCTGGGTGACAGAGCAAGACTCTGTCTCAATAATAAATAAATAAAGTAATTAAATTAAATTAAATTAAAATGAAAGTAAACTACCTAATTTTTAAAAAGCTACAAGATTTGGACAGACACTTCACCAAAGAACATAGATGAATGGCAAATAGCACATGAAAAGATGTTCAAGTCGTTGGCCGTTAGGGAAACACAAATTAAACCCACAATGAGATACCACCGTACATTTATAGAATGGCTTAAAGACTGATTGTATGAAGCATTAATGAGGCTATTAGAGAACTGGAATTCTCATACACTGCTGTTGGCAATGTAAAATATAACAACCACTTTGGAAGTCAGGTAGGTGGGGTTTTTTTGTTTTTTTTTTTTTGTTTTTTGAGATGGAGTCTCACTCTGTTGCCCAGGCTCACTGCAACCTCTGCCTCCCGGGTTCAAGCAATTCTTCTGCCTCAGCCTCCCAAGAAGCTGGGTGAAGGCCTGCCACCACACCCAGCTAATTTTTTGTATTTTTAGTAGAGACGGGGTTTCATTCCCCCATGTTGGCCAGGATGGTCTCGATCTCCTGACCCGTGATCCATCCGCCTCGGCCTCCCAAAGTGCTGGGATTACAGGCGTGAGCCACCGCGCCTGGCTGGGTGGGTTTTTCTAAGTTAAACATACACTGAGTAGATGTACCATCAACTCAAGAGAAATTAAAACATGGACATACGAAGACTTGTATACAAATGTTCACAGCCACTCTCCTCAAAAGTGCCACAATTTGGAAATAACCCAAATGGCCTTCACCAGGTGACGGGTAAACTAGTACATTCCTACCATGAAATTCAGGCAACAGTATGGATGAATTTCAAAATAACTGTTATGTGGGGAAAAAAAAGTAAGAGAATCCATACTGTATGGTTATATTTATACAAACTTCTAGCAAATACCAACGGACCTATAAGAGCATGTGGGGGGCTGGGTGCAGTGGCTCACGCCTGTAATCCCAGCACTTTGGGAGGCCGAGGCAGGCAGATGATAAGGTCAGGAGTTCGAGACCAGTCTGGCCAGCATGGTGAAACCGCGTCTCTACTAAAAATACAAAAATTAGCCAGGCATGGTGGTGGGCGCCTGTAATCCCAGCTTTATATATATATATATATATATATACCCCTTGGGGACACGGCTGAGAGCGTGGTGGTGGGATGGAGGTGGGAAAAGGCAGGAGGGACAGATTACAAAAGGCCACAGGGAAACTTCTGGGAGTGATGAACTTCTGGGAGTGTTCATTATCTTGGTGGTGTTGACAGTTTCATGAGTATATGCATATGTCAAAATGTATCCAATTGTACCCTTTAAGTACATGTAATTTATTGTCTATCAACTGTATCTCAGTAAAGCTATTTTTATATAAAACCTACTGGAATGGTAGGATTCTAAGCAATTCCAGTTGCCATTTCAACCTAGGCACTTTTTGGGGGACTTGCTTTGGAATTTTAACCTGAATGTGAGTTGACAGCCCTATACCAATGCCATGACTATTTCTCACCTTTGAGGCTAGATTCACACTGCTCCCCCAGCCCCTGCCCGCAAGCATGCAGTATTTTTGGCATGATTCTCTAGGACAGGGCACTTCTGCTTCCATGGAAGGCCTGAGCACAAGCTCAGCTGCCACCTGTCTTTCACTGGATGGATGTATTTAGCTGACCTTGCTGATGGGGCACAGAAACTCTCCTGAGCACTCATCTACAGAGAACAATCTTCCTTGATCGAAGAAGGCTGTTTTCCGCCAAGACTGTAAGTCAATTTCAGGGAGTCCCCTGAGGATGCTACCACCACTGTCCGAATGCAGATTGTTGGGGAGGCTTGTGGGTGGAGCAGCAGGATGAGGCCCAGGTCCCAAGCTTGGGAGGCTTCCTGGACTCCCCACGCTGGGAAATGGCTAATGATACCAGTTCACAAGGGTAAAGAATGGGCTCAGCTGGGTTTAAAAAAAAAATAACTGGCCGGGAGCAGTGGCTCACGCCTGTAATCCCAGCATTCTGGGAGGCTGAGGCGGGCGGATCACGAGATCAGGAGATCGAGACCATCCTGGCTAACATGGTGAAACCCCGTCTCTACTAAAAATACAAAAAATTAGCCGGGCATGGTGGCGGGCACCTCTGGTCCCAGCTGCTCAGGAGGCTGAGGCAGGAGAATGGTGTGAACCCAGGAGGTGGAACTTGCAGTGAGCGGAGATCGCGCCACTGCACTCCAGCCTGGGCGACAGAGCGAGACTCTGTCTCGAAAATAAATACATAAAAATAACCTCTTCTACAGAAAATCAGTCCATGGCCAGACACGGTGGCGCATGCTTGTCATCCCAGTACTTTGGGAGGCCGAGGCAGTGGATCACCTGAGGTCAGGAGTTCGAGACCAGCCTGCCTAACATGGAGAAACCCCATCTCTACTAAAAAAAAATACAAAATTAGCTGGTTGTGGTGGCACATACCTGTAATCCCAGCTACTAGGGAGGCTGAAGCAGGAGAATCGCTTGAACCCGGGAGGCGGAGGTTGTGGTGAGCCAAGATCGTGCCATTGCACTCCAGCCTGGGCAACAAAAGCGAAACTCCGTCTCAAAAAATAAAAAAAAATCAGTCCATAATATTTGCACTGTCCCCAAAATAAAAGGGCAGCACCGCTCCTACTTTCTTTCCACATATGCCTGTCAAGCTGAATTGTTCTTTTACAATTTTGCCTCCTTTTATGTACATTTTAACATGTAGTACATATAACCCATGTACATGTTCCCCCTAGTGAAAAAGGGGGAAATGAAGTGATATCCACACAGTCTATCCCCTGAATTGTGGCTCTTCCTCCACCCTGACCCCCATGCACATCCATGTAGAACGTGGAGAGGCAGAGAGCAGCCTAATCACCCTGGCATTTGTCTGGGACATTCGTGAACAGGAAAAAGCACACAAAACAGATACCCAAGTGGCTACACTGAGATTTTAAAGACATCAGTGAGGATAGATTTGAATATCCAAAATAGAGTGAATGGCTGGGCAAAGCGGCTCACAGCTGTAATCTCAGCGCTTTGGGAGGCCGAGGTGGGCGAATCATTCGAGGTCAGGAGTTCCAGACCAGCCTGGCCAACATGGCAAAACACCCATCTCAACAAAGAATACGAAAAATTAGCTGGGTATGGTGGTGCGTGCCTGCAGTCCCAGCTACTCAGGAGGCTGAGGTAGGAGCCTCAGGAGGTCAAGCATGTACTCAGCTGTGATTGTGCCAGTGCACTCCAGTCTGGATGACAGAGTGAGACCCTGTCTCGGTCAGGAGTTCGAGAGCAGCCTGGCCAACACAGTGAAACCCTGTCTCTATTAAAAATACAAAAAATTAGCTGGGCATGATGGTGGGTGCCTGTAATCCCAGCTACTCAGAAGGCTGAGGCAGGAAAATCGCTTGAACCCAGGAGGCAGAGGTTGCAGGAGCCGAGATTGTGCCATTGCACTCCAGCCTGGACAGCAGAGCGAGACTCTGTCTCAAAAAAAAAAAAAAAAAAAAAAAAGGAGTGAAAATGAAGACAGAAGGCATTGGGCATTGTTGCCTGAGATGGTGAAATGAGATCACTGGAAAGAACGGGGCTGGATGGTCTTCATTAGCAGCTAGCAAGTCCCTTAAGCTCAAGAGCCTTCTTCCCAGCAGGGATGGTGGCATCATGAAGCTGTTGGGACAGTAGAGCTCTCTCTACGAGCTCCACCCAAGAACAGAGAGTTTTTGGGAACCCAGCAAACGGCCGCCCCGGCGAACAGGCTTCATATCCCGAGGATGACCAGCGTCCTGGAGAGGAGCCAAAACAAAACTGCTAGCACACCTCATCAATCACAACAATCAGAAGAGCAGCATTTACTGAGCACGCGCTATGGGCCAGATGTGATGCCAAATATTGCAAATACATCTTTGACCTAATCCTAACAATCCATGGAGCGGGCATCAGTGGAAGAACATTGCCAGCTCTGCTCCTGAATGAAGAACAAGACACCCAGGAACAGTCCTTCAGTTTTTCTAACTCTGATTCCAGAGAAATTAAGGAGAAGAACCTGGCCTGGGTATACAATAATAATACACATTTTTTAAGAGATTTGCAAGCAGTTAAAAGCAAACAAACATCTTCTCACCCTGACACATAGATCCAGGTGAAATGCAAAGCAGGCACTGGGCTGGCTTGGCTTTCTGACCCACCTGATGTTCTCAAAATCTTAGTTTCTCTTATCTTCTGGATTCAGAAGTACAGACTGTTGCCTTGGCCTCTCCAAACCAAAAATCATTATAGGCACGACGTGTAATTACACATCCCAAATTAATTCAGTCAACCAATAGATATTGAGGGCTTACTTTAATTCAAACCTATCCATGCCTGGCACTGGAGTTTCAAATAAGGACAGCCTTCTAGGCTGCAAGGAGTGGAAGAGACACTAAAATAAGCAGATAATTGTCATGCAGTAGGGTGAGGGAGTAGAGATGTGTAGAAAGTGGGTTAATAGGCCAGGCGCAGTAGCTCATGCCTGTAATCCCAGCATTCTGGGAGGCGGAGGCGGGTGGATCACCTGAGGTCAGGAGTTCAAGACCAGCCTGACCAACATGGTGAAAACCCATCTCTACTAAAAATACAAAAAATTAGCTGGGCGTGGTGGTAGGCACCTTTAATCCCAGCTACTTGGGAGGCTGAGGCAGGAGAATCGCTTGAACCCAGGAGGCAGGAGGTTGCAGTGAGCCAAGAATGCGCCATTGTACTCCAGCCTGGGTGACAACACCAAAACTCCATCTCAAAAAAAAAAGAAAAAGAAAGTAGGTTAATAAGGTTAGAGCAAAACCGCCTTTGCAAAATTATGAGAGTAAGAGAAATCTGACATAGTTAACGCCATCTTGCTTCTGACTTCCAAGCGTCCTTGGTCATTTCTGGGCCTGGGCCAGGCTAACTTTGGGAGAAATTTAGTTTATAGCTTAACCTTGAAGCAAGAGTGATAATAATCCCTTCTTAAAACTAAGCCCTTCCCTGTTCTGGGCTGCTGACACCGGCTTTGTAAGATGAGTGAAAGGCCATAAGATAGATGTAGTTTCCTTTTAAAAAAAATTTGTATTGAATCTTTTTTTTGAGACAGGGTCTTGCTCTGTCACCCAGGCTGGAGTGCAATGACACAATCATAGTTCACTGCAGCCTTGACCTCCCTGGGCTCAAGTGATCCTCCCACCTCAGCCTCCTAGTAGCTAGGACTATGGGTATGCACTACCATGCCTAGCAAATTTTTTAGTTTTTTTGTAGAGATGATATCTTGTCTCTAAGCTGATCTTGAACTGCTGGCCTGAAGTGATTTTCCTGCCTTGACCTCCCAAAGTGCTGGGATTACAGGCACAAGCCACCCACCCTGCCCAACAGGTGTTTCCATAATCCCTTACTGCTCAGGGATCATGCAGCCAGATAACATCACTACTGTAAAGCCTAAGGTTAGTTTTTTGAGATATTTTTCAGACTGACCCCACCCCACCTGGACTTGGGAGTCATGACAAGTGGTCCTATGTCCCCACCCAGAGGCAGACTCAGCACAGGGACTATTTTCCACACCCCTGTGATCTCATCCCCAACCAATCAGCAGCATCCATTCCCTAGTCCCCTGCCCAATAATTGCCCATAAAAACCCTAAGGTTCGAGACTTCAGGGGAGAGTGATTTGAGTGATGGCTCCATCTCCCTCATACTGTGGCCAGCTTCTACTAAACATTTTTTTTTCCTTTTTTTTTTTTTTTTTAAGAGACTGGGGCTCTCTATGTTGCCCAGGCTGGTCTGAAATATCTGGGTTCAAGCAATCCTCCCACCCTGGCCTCCCCAGTTGCTGGGATTACAGGTGTGAGGCATAGTGCCAGGCCTCCAATTAAACTCTCTCTGCGGTAATGCCACGGTCTCAGGGCATTGGTTTTGTCTGTGCAGCAGGCAGGAAGAACCACTGGGTGATTGCAGGAGCAGCTTTCTGAAGAACTGGAAAATCCTGGAGGATAACGATGTCTTAGCCAGGCTTTCTGCTGTTGGTGGTGGTTTGGGAGGGGCAGTTGGGAGAAGGGCCTCAGTATAGCGGTGAAGAGCCGCACAGTGTGCACGGGCAGGCATGGCTCACAGTCTGGTTGCCAGAAGAACACACAGGAAGCAGGGAGCAGGGTGATGCGGCTAGGGAGCTGGCTGAGACCCCTGTGCTGGGTCTCCAACGCCTGTGTAGAAGCCCTTTTTCCTTAAGGGCAGGAGAAACGTACGGAAAGCAAGGAAGAGCTTTAGGTAGATTCTCACTTTCAAGTGATCACTCTGTTGGTTGTAAGAAAGACAAACTGGAGGGTCACAGTGGAGGTGGGGACAGCCTAAGAACCCCCTAGAATTGCGGGTGCTCACGCCTGTAATCCCAGCATTTTGGGAGGCCAAGGACGCGGATCACCTGAGGTCAGAAGTTCGAGACCAGTCTGACCAACGTGGTGAAACCTCGTCTCTACTAAATATACAAAAATTAGTCGGGCGTAGTGGCACGTGCCTGTAATCCCAGCTACTCCGGAAGCTGAGGCAGGAGAATCACTTGAACCCGGGAGGCGGAGGTTGCAGTGAACTGAGATTGCACCACTGTACTCCACCAGGCTGGGCAACAGAGCAAGACTGTCTCAAAAAAACAAAAAAACAAAAAAAGAATTGCGTTGTTTGGGGGTGAGAGGCAGGGTGCCCGACCGGCCCCCAGTCCTGAGGTGGGCCCCAGGCCCACTTGCAAACGTGTCTCTGCAGCTGTTCAGATCTCTTTCATCACAGGCCTCCCAACTCCCGGCTGCTCCGACCCTCCAACGATACGAGGGCGTATGGTAAACACTCGCAAATGCTTTCGAATAGTCCGACCCTCCAACAATAAGAGAGCATATGGTAAACACTCGCAAATGCTTTCGAATAGTTCACTGAATGGAATAATTAATGGATTAATCACTCTGCTGAGTAAATTGCAGCTGAACATAAGTACGATTCTTCTCCTTTTTTTTCCTTTTCTTTTTTTTTTTTTTTGAAACAGGGTCTCTCTCTGTTGCCCAGGCTGGAGTGCGGTGGCGCGATCTCGGCTCACTGCAACCTCCGCCTCCCGGGTTCAAGTGATTCTCATGCCTCAGCCTCCCAAGTAGCTGGGACTAGAGGTGCACACCACCATTCCCGGGTAATTTTTGTGTGTTTTGGTAGAGACAGGGTCTTGCCATGTTGGCCAGGCGGGTCTTGCCATGTTGGTTAGGCTGGTCTTGAACTCCTGACTTCAGGCGATCCACCTGCCTCAGCCTCCCAAAGTGCTGGGATTACAGGCATGAGGCACCGTGCCTGGCCTCTTTTTTTCTTTTTGTCAGAGCAGGAGTGGTGCAGGGAGATGCTGAGAGTCTGTTTGAGGTTATTGTGACTGAAATTAAACTTTGATGGGTTCTCGGTAGTTGCAGAAAGGGGTTTGTCCTGGGCTTCAGGTAGGTGTAGCAGGGATTTGCTCTCCCTATTGTAAGGAGCCAGATAGACTTCCCCAGGGCAGCGTGACCCAGCCTGTAAGAGGCTGGAGTCTGGGAGGGGCATTTAAACCCCCCAGGGCAGATGTGGGTGGGTGGTCCGAGGACGATTCTGCGGACAATGGGTGGTGCTTATGGGTGGTGCTTACGTGTCTAAGACTATTTTTCAACTTGGCTCAGGTGACAGTGAATCATATAACCATTAAGTGAGGCCCAGAGGTTGATTTGCCCCAGGTCACACAGCTGCTTAGTGAGGGGAAGTCCAGACTCTGGGGTCCACAGTACAAAGACTTTTCATCGACCAAGAGATAAGCTTTCAGGTTTAGTGAAAGCGGCTCTGAGTAATAAAAAATGACAGGACCCCATTTGCACTTTATTCTGTGAACCATGCAAAACCCACAGCAGTCCCCAGCTGCCAGGAGGGGCGAAGCCAAGGCCGATCAGCCCCAAGCACAGCTGCGGCTGCAGTCCGGGCGCCTCGACCTTCCATTCCCTTCCTGCTTGAACAGGGTTTATGGCGGTTCTGCTCTCCCACTGTGTTAATTACAGGCACTCTGGAAAGTACCTGCGGGAAGAGGACCTAATGGAAGAAGCAAAGCCACCCACACCCAGAGCCTTCACCTGTGCTCCTCTCAGGCTTTCTGTGGCTTCTGCTTTTAGAGCTCTAAAAGCCCTCTGAGATAACATGAACAAACATGCTAATTTTACAGACAAGGAAACTGAGGTCTAAGTAAGCAAATGACCTGGCTGTGATTACTTGCCGTAATGGCCAGCAAGGACCAGATCGTAGCACTTTGGGATAAGAAGGAAATGTGGGATGAGGTTTGCCTTCTCCCTGATGCAGGAATGCTCATGTCCAGCAAGGACCAAGTGATGGCTACTCTCCTTGGGAGTGCTGCTTGGGAAGGTTCCTGTCTCAGCCAGGGTATGCGGTAGGGATGGAGTGGATAGACAGGGCTCAGTACCCCCTTGTCAGGTAAAACATGTCATGATCTCTCCCCTTCACCTTCAACACAGACAAAAAAAAAAAAAAAAAATTAAAAGCTACCCCTCTCCCACACACACACAAAACAGATATGACAGCATTTGTTCTCACCATAATTTTTCTGTAGCTTTACAAAAATGATGTTTACCAGGAGGTGGAGGTTGCAGTGAGCTGAGATCATGCCACTGCACTCCAGTCTGGGTGACAGAGTGAGACTCCATCTCAAATAAAAATAAATAAAATTTTAAAAAACCAAAAAAAGGCTGGGCGTGGTGGCTCATGCCTGTCATCTCAGCACTTTGGGAGGCCGAGGAGGGTGGATCATGAGGTCAAGAGATCAAGACCATCCTGGCCAACATGGTGAAACACCATCTCTGCTAAAAATACAAAAATTAGCTGAGCATGGGGGCGCACGCCTGTAATCCCAGCTACTTGGGAGACTGAGGCAGGAGAATCGCTTTGAACCAGGAGGTAGAGGCGGCAGTGAGCCGAGATTGCGCTACTGCACTCCAGCTTGGGTGACAGAGCGAGACTCTGTCTCAAAAACAAAAAAAAAAATTAGAAAAAAAAATGTTTAGTAAACACAGAGGAGAATCAATATATTATTGGAAAGAGAATTTAGTAACAATCAGAGAAAACTGGTTGAACCATAACATAGCAAATGAAAAATGCATTGACGTACTTCCTCATACCTTTCGTTCAACAGGATTTAAAACAAGTGTTCAAATTGTGAGGCTCTTCAAATACATTTTACTATCAAAACAACTTGAAACAGTGAATAGAGAATCATACAAGAAAAAATTTAATATACACACCTGGAAAAAATAAATCTTTTTCTTTTTTTTTTTTTTAAGCCCCTGATTAAAATTTCCTTGGAAAGACATACTAAAGTTTTTAGCAAGCAAGCAACAGATGGTAAAGAGAAGTTAATTGTGCATTAGCCACCATTAGTAATTTTAAGAAGTAGAAAATGTCACTGATATATTATTTATTTAAAATGTTTCCTTTAGGTCTGGCATGGTGGCTCACACTTGTAATTCCAGTACTTTTGGAGTCCTAGGAGGGCAGATCACCTGAGATCAGGAGTTCGAGACCAGCCTGGCTAACATGGTGAAACCCCATCTCTACTAAAAACACAAAAATTAGCCGGCCGTTGTGGCATGTGCCTGTAGTCCCAGCTACTCCAGCTACTCGGGAGGCTGAGGCAGGAGAATCACTTGAACCCGGGAAGTGGAGGTTGCAGTGAGCCGAGATTGAGCCACTGCACTCCAGCCTGGGCAATAGAGCAAGCCTCCAACTCAAAAAAAATAAAAAATAAAAATAAAATGCTTTCTTTAGTGTCTTATTTTAATGACAGTACAAAATATTCCTACAGTTTTATATAGGTTCAAAGTTTACATCCTTCCCCTCCTAATTTTAGCTCTGGATTTCTTTTTTCTTTCTTTTTTTTTTTTTTTTTTTTTGAGACAGTCTCGCTCTGTCACCCAGGCTGGAGTGCAGTGGTGCAATCCCAGCTCACTGCAACCTCCGCCTCTCAGGTTCAAGTGATTCTCCTACTTCACCCTCCCAAGTAGCTAGGATTACAGGCACATGCCACCATGCCAGGCAGCTCTGAATTTCCTTTGTTTGTTTGCTTTCTGAGTTGGGGTCCTCGTTCTGTCACCTAGGCTGGAGCGGACTGGTGCGTTCATAGCTCACTGCAACTTAAAACTCCTGAGCTCAAGCCATCCTCCACCTCAGCCTCCTGATTAGCAGGGACTACAGGTGTGCACCACCATGCTGGGCCAGCTCCAGATTTCTTATGCTCCGCAGGCTGGAGAAGTTATGGAAGGGATATTCTGCAAGATGAGGACAACTGATTATCAGAAGAAGGAATGAGAACATGATCCTGCTTCTCTAGGTAAGAGGAACGTTTCGAGTAGGCAGTGGAAGGATTAAAGTAGTATTTCAGGAAATTTTAATCTGGTCTTGGTCTATAGAATGGACGTAATGGGGAGGAGGAAAGCGGGAGGTGGGCGCGTCAGTCTGGAGGGAGGTGGTTTTTCTACAACTAAGAGACAGTAGGTCATTATGGCGGGGAAGACCGGCTTTGAGACCAAATTGAGTGAGTTCCAGTCCCAGCTGTGCCCCTTGCTAATCACATGACTTTGAATAAATTACTTAACTTTGTGCTTTGGTTTCCTGCTTCATAAAATATAGATATGAAAATCTAAAACCCATCTCATAGGGTTACTACGAGAATAAGAAAATGCGTGTTGAAAGCCTTGGCACAGTACGTGGAATGTGGAATGTGGTAAACTCCCAAAGAAACTGGAGCTTTTTATTCTCGCTATTGTGTCATTTGTGACACTACATAAAACCTAAGAAAAGTCTATTAATGTCATTAACAACAATAACAAAAAGTTCCCAAAAGGCACCCACCTACAATCTATTTTTACCTACAATCTAATTTTTTCCTTAGCAGCTGCTTAAAAGAATCAACTGGGGCCGGGCGCCATGGCTCACGCCTGTAATCCCAGCACTTTGGGAGGCTGAGGCAGGCAGATCACCTGAGGTCAGGAGTTCGAGACCAGCCTGGCCAACATGGTGAGACCCCATCTCTACCTTTTTCCCCCCACCCTGAGACAGAGTCTCGCTCTGTTGCCCAGGCTGGAGTGCAGTGGTGCGATCTCGGCTCACTGCACGCTCTGCCTCCCGGGTTCACGCCATTCTCCTGCCTCAGCCTCCAGAGTAGCTGGGACTACAAGCGCCCGCCACCGCTCCCAGCTAATATTTTTGTATTTTTAGTAGAGACGGGGTTTCCCCGTATCAGCCAGGATGGTCTCGATCTCCCGACCTCATGATCCACCCACCTCGGCCTCCCAAAGTGCTGGGTTTATAGGCATGAGCCACCACGCCAGGCTGAAACCCCGACTCTACTAAAAATACAAAAATTAGCCAGGTGTAGTGGTGGGTACCTGTGAGGCTGAGGCAGGAGAATCACTAGAACCCAGGAGGCAGAGGTTATAATGAGCCGAGATTGCACCACTACACTCCAGCCTGGGTGACAGAGTGAGAATCTGTCTCAAAAACCAACAAACAAAAAACCAAAAAATCGACTGTCTTGGTCTTGAGCTGGCTGTTGCTGACTACAGTGGGTGCAGCTTCTGAAACAGAAAAAGCAGGATCGTGCATTAAGCGCTGACCCTTCTACTGCCCATAGCTCAGTCCTCTTCACCTCTGCAAGTCTGTCCTGGAACACACTGAAACAGGCAGAGCAGCTCCCTGCAGTGGCTGAAGACCAGCGGACCTGAAACAGAGGGTCTCTGAAGCGGAGTCAGGCCTGGAACCCCAGCTGCTGCCTGAGACTCCCAGCAGCTCCCAGGGGAAACCTTGCTCAGCCGTGCCAGCTAGGAAAACTCAGCAGCTCCCAGGGGAAACCTTGCTCAGCCGTGCCAGCTAGGAAAACTCCACAGGAGGGGTGGGTTTTCAAGTCTGGGAAGGAGAAGAATGAAATCACTGGTTTCACAAACATTTGAGTGTTTTATGTCCGTTCTCTTCCTGAATCTTAGTGCCATGGATGGATACATCAGAGTCAGCTACACCAATTAGAGATCAGATACTCTAGAGTCAGCTACACCAATTAGAGATCAGATATTCTAATCAGCAGCTCAATGAATATTCCAAAGCTGAAAAACACAATCATTTCTAATTCCATCCGTAGTACAGTTTATATACTTACTAGGCCAAGCTGTCCAACCCACGGCCCTCAGGCTGCAGACATGCTTTGAATGCGGCCCAACACAAATTCATCAACTTTCTTAAAACACTATGAGTTTTTCTGGGATTTTTTTTCTTTTTTAGCTCATAAGCTATCATTAGTGTTAGTGTATTTTATATGTGGCCCAAGACAGTTTTCTTCTTCCAGTGCGGCCTGGGGAAGCCAAAAGATTGGACACCCCTGTAACTAGGCATTCAGATAAAAACAGAAAAAAAATCAGCAAGAATCCAAATATTAAGTCATTTAAACCTGAATATCAAGACATTTAGGAACCTAAACCCCAGATCACAGTAATCTTTATAGGGCAAATATTCACCCAAAGTGATTAGAATTTGTGTTTGCTTTTTTTTTTCTTTTCTTTTTTTGAGATGGAGTCTCACTCTGTTGCCCAGGCTGGCGTGCAGTGGCGTGATCTTGGCTAACTGCAACCTCTGCCTCCCAGGTTCAAGCAATTCTCCTGTCTCAGCCTCCCGAGTAGCTGGGACTACAGGCGCCCGCCACCACGCCCGGCTAATTTTTTATATTTTTAGCAGAGATGGGGTTTCACCGTGTTAGCCAGGATGGTCTCGATCTCCTGACCTCGTGATCCGCCTGCCTCAGCCTCCAAAAGTGCTGGGATTACAGGCGTGAGCCGCCGCGCCCAGCATGTTTGCTTATTTTTAAAACTTCATTAGAAGCCAGGTGCATTGGCTCACTCCTGTAATCCCAACACTTAGGGAGGCAGAGACGGGAGGATTGCTGGAGCCTAGGAGTTTGAGACCTGTCTGAGCAGCACAGCGAGACCCCGTTCTCTACAAAAAAGAAAAAAAAAAAGAAAACCACCACCATCTTACCAGAAATGCCTGAGAAAAAAACAGAAGAGCTGGCAAACCCATGGTCAAGAGGAAGATGCTCTAGGGAAGAGAAAGAAATACTCCGGCCTGGTAACCTCGGAGTTTGGTTAATGTAGTTCGACTCGTAGCTATCTGTGGGCAGTCACTTGGTGGTGGCTGAAGTCTAAGAGAATCTCAGAGCCCAGATATAAGGATGTGGCATCTTTTGTGGAAGTCACATTCTGGTTTCTCCAGTCATCGTTGGTGGATGCCCAGCACTGACTGATCTAGGACTATAAAAAGAGCTGTGGTAGCCGGGCACGGTGGCTCACACCTGGAGGCGGAGGTTGGAATAAGCCAAGATCGAACCACTGCACTCCAGCCTGGGCGACAGAGCAAGACTCCATCTCAAAAAATAAATTAATTAATTAAAATAAATAAATAATAATTTTTTAAAATAAAATAAATCTTTAAAAATTAAAATACAAATACAAAAATCTGGGCGTGGTGGTACACACCTGTAATCCCAACTACTTGGGAGGTTAAGGCAAGACAATCGCTTGAACCCAGGAGGTGGAAGTTGCTGAGATTGCACCACTGCACTCCAGCCTTGGCAACAGAACAAAATCGTGTCCCAAAAAAAACAAAACAAAACAAAAAAAAGGCCTGTGGGTAAAGTCAAGTATTTATTCATCCAACATCATTCATTTAGTAGCAACCATCTTCTGGAAAGGCACTGGGAGTGCAGAAATGAACACGGCACAATCTTTGCACCTTCCCAGGGCACAGGCTATGAGATCAGTCACTCTAGCAGGACAGGTGACTAGAGGGCGGGGCGCCACGGCCATGAGGGGCACTCTGCAGTCCTTGGGGGCCCCGCCCCTTTTCTTGAGCTCTGGTCCTTAAACTCTGAACCTCAGGTCCTCATCTGTGAAGATGGGGATAAAATGCCTAACAGGCCAAGTTACAGTAAGTTCTGAAATGTGTCTGACAGATGGTGGGCCCTCTGGAAATGGTAACCGTTATCTATAATTTATTATGATTATTATAACAACAAAGGGGTGGATGAGGCCCTACAGGGGAAGGAGTGCTTTCTCCTGCCCAGCAGGGGCCAGAAAAGCTTAATAGAGAGGGTGACATTTGAACTGAATCTCAAGTCAGAGAGCCTCTATAGGTTCAGGTGATGGGCATCAGAGAGCATATGAGGTCTCTTCAGTTGTGCTCCAAACCTTAAGTTGTATGCATACGGACGGCCTGTACTTTCCAACATACTTTTTTTTGTTCGTTTGTTTTTTGAGACAGTGTCTCACTCTGTCACCAGGCTGGAGTACAGTGGTGCGATATTGGCTCTCAACCTCCTGGGCTCAAGCGATCCTCCAACTTCAGCCTCCCAAGTAGCTGGGACTACACGCGGGTGCCACCATGCCCAGCTAATTTTTTTGTGTATTTTTTTGTAGAAACAAGGTTTTGCCCAGGCTGGTCTTGAACTCCTGGGCTCAAGCGATCCAGCTGCCTCAACCGCCCAAAGTGTTGGGACTACACTCATGAGCCACTGCACCCAGCCCCAACATATTCTTAAAGGGTTAGTGACCACCTCAAAAGGTGAAGAGCTACCTACACTGGTCTAGAAGTATAACTAAAAGTTCGCCAGGCAGGCAACATAGGAAAGGTCATCTCCAGCATGGCAAACAGTTTAGAAAGAAGTAAAGTGGCTTCGTGGGCACATGACCTATGCAGTCACAGAGTCTGACACTCGGAGCGCCTGTGCTCCCTTCAAAGTGCTGCTGCTGCTGTCACCCTCAAACTTCTTGATTTTTTTATTTTTTATTTTTTTTTTTGAGACAGAGTCTTGCTCTGTCACCAGGCTGGAGTGCAGTGGCGCAATCTCGGCTCACTGCAACCTCCACCTCATGGGTTCAAGTGATTCTCCTGCCTCAGCCTCCCAAGTAGCTGGGATTACAGGTGCCCACCATCACGCCCGGCTAATTTTTTGTATTTTTAGTAGAGGTAGGGTTTCACCATGTTGGCGAGGATGGTCTTGATCTCCTGACCTTGTGATCCACCCACCTCGGCCTCCCAAAGTGCTGGGATTACAGGCGTGAGCCACCACGCCCGGCCAACGATTTCTTAACAAGAATCAAAGAAGCAAGCCCAGGACCCTGGACACAGCAGCACAGGTGAAAGGGGCAGAGCTTGAGAGTGGCAGCGCAGTTGGCTTCGGGCTCCGGGAAGCCAGAGGTGCATCAAGTCCCGAAAGTGAGCAAAGTACTTCTCACAGAGAACGGGGACTAACTCACCGGGGAGCTGAAACAAGAGCCTTGCAAATTATCTAGCCTGTGCTTCTGAGAAGCATGGCATTTTCAGAAAATTCCCAGCAGGTGGTGGGCACAGGTGCTTGGTGGAAAATGGCAGGAGATGAGGTTAAAAAAGTAAGACAGACCAGATGAAAGATGTAAGATTCTAGCTAAGAAACTTCAGAACCTAGGAAGAGGCAGAGGTTGCAGTGAACCGAGAGCGTGCCATTGCACTCCAGCCTGGGTGACAAGAGTGAAACAAACTCAAAAAAGAAAAACAACTGCTCTAAAGGTGCGGAAGGAGACATTCAAGGATGTTTTTGGTTTCGTGTTGAGACAGGGTCCTGCTCTGTCCCCCAGGCTCTTGTGCAGTGGCACAATCACATCTCACTGCAGCCTCGACCTCCAGGGGTCAAGGGATCCTCCCAGCTCAGTCTCCAGAGTAGCTGGGACCACACGTGTGAGCCACCAAGCCTGGCTAAGTTTTTTTTTGTTTGCTTTTTGTTTTTTGTTAGAGACAGGATCTCACTTTGTTGCCAGGTTGGTCTCAAACTCCTTGGCTCAAGCAATCCTCCTGCCTCAGCCTCCCAGGGTGCTGAGATTACAGGCGTGAGCTACTAAACCCAGTCTGAAGGATATAAAAAGTGAAATGGCATGGCATTTCACTGTTAAAAAGATTACTCTAGTGGCTTCAAGAGGATGAATTGGAAGGATTAACAACTGTAGGCCAGGCGAGGTGGCTCACGCCTGTAATCCCAGCATTTTGGGAGGCCAAGGCGGGTGAATCACCTGAGGTCAGGAGTTCGAGACTAGCCTGGCCAACATGGTGAAACCCTGTCTCTACTAAAAATACAAAAATTAGCTTGGCATGGTGGCGCATGCCTGTAATCCCCTACTGGGGAGGCTGAGACGGGAGAATTGCCTGAACCCGGGAAGCGGAGGTTGCTGTGAGCCGAGTGTGTGCCATTGCACTCCAGCCTGGGCGACAAGAGAGAAACTCTGTCCAAAAAAAAAAAAAAAAAAAAAAAAAAACAGGCACGGTGACTCACACCTGGAATCCCAGCACTTTGGGAGGCCGAGGCGGGCAGATCACAAGGTCAGGAGTTCGAGACCAGCCTGCCCAACATAGTGAAACCCCGTCTCTACTAAAAATACAAAAATTAGCTGGGCGTGGTGGTGCACACCTGTAGTCCCAGCTACTCAGGAGGCTGAGGCAGGAGAATCACTTGAACCCGGGAGGAGGAGGTTGCAGTGAGCCAAGATCGTGCCACTGCACTCCAGCCTGGCGTCAAAATGAGGCTCCATCTCAAAAAAAAAAAAAAATTGTAGACAGTGTGATCAACGTGGTGGCTACCACGGTAGTCCAGGGAAGAAAACAGGAAGGCTTGAATGAAACGGTAGCCATGCAAAAAGGAGGAGACTAGAGGAGAGGAGAGGGAGCCATTTAGGTAGACCTGAGGTGGGGTCTGAGTCATTGGTGACCTGGTAGCTGAAGCCCTGATCCCAGAGAACATTACTCACAAAAACCCCACCAAGTGAGAATATCAAGAAGCCAGCCCAGGATCCTGGGAACAGCGGCGCAGGTGAAGTGGGCAGAGCTTGAGAGTGGCAGCCAGCTGGCTCCAGGCAAGCCAGAGGTGCACAGGGGCCCCAAAGTGAGCGCAGCCCTTCTTTGGGCGAGGGGGCTACCTCGCCGGGGAGCTGAAAGAAGAGGAGAGGAAAAGTCATGTGTGTCCATTTATTAGAAGGTTGCAGCTGAGGATTTAGAGGAATGGCTGCAGCGAGGACCAACCAAGGAGTGAATGAGAGGCAACGGCGTGGAGACAGCTAGGAGGGAACGAAGGGAGGGCAGGACGTGCAGGAAGTGGCAGTTGGTTTTTGGATTTGGGAGAGACTTGGGCAAGTTCCTAAGACGCGGTGAAGGAATCAACAGAGTTCAGGAAGTGGCGCGTGTGGAAGAGAAGGCCTGTTGGAGGAGCAGCGGCTCAGAGGATGTCAGCAGAAGGACCTGGGGTGGGGGTTAGAGAGAAGCCTCCCAGGGACTTCCTCGGAGCCTGAAAACATGGAATCGGGGTTCCCAGACATGTATGCGTGGGGCACGAAGTGGAGCGCGATCCCGCAGGTGGGTGGCATCCTTTTACTCTACAGAAGCTGCAAGCTAACGTCTGGAGGGAAGAGGGAAGAGGCAGGGTAGAAGGCTTTAAGGGAGAATGTGCTGAGAGTGTCCTGAGCAACGACAGGAGAAAACATGCCAGCATTACCGAGAATTTAGTGGAGAATGACAGCAACCCCGTGAGTTTCTGCAGCTGCCCTCAGCAGCCTTTGCATGCTGTGTGTCCCAAATCACTTCTCACCCTCTCCAATGCTAACATTAGCCCAGGCAGCCAAGAACTTTTCTTAAGGTGACTGCATAGTCCCCCTGTTCTCCAGCCCACCCCTCTACACAGCAGACAGAGTGATCTTTCGGAAATATGTCAGCTCACATCAAGTCCCCGCCTTAAGACCATGCAGTGGTACCATTACACTTAGACCAAAGTCCTCAGAATAAAATTCAAAGGCCCGCATGATCAGGGCACTCACCCCTTCTCCCTACACTTTCTCCCTCATGTACTGTGCCCCAGCCACTTTGCAGTCCCCTCCTTCCTCAGAGGTGCCAGGCTGTTTCCTGTCTCGGGACTTGTGTGGTTGCCATTGCTATGCTTAGAAGATTTTTCCTCTGGTTCGTCACCGTGGCTGTTTTCACCATCCACATCTTCCTAGTGTTTACTAATACCTGGAATTATTCTACGTATGTATGTGTTTACACATTTAGTTTGTTTTCCCCCAGTGAAATACAAGTTCCTTGGATGCAGGGTCTGTTTGCTTTCTTTACTGTCCAACATCGATTGGCTCATGTGAGGAACTTGATAAATATTTGTTGGCTGTTTGGTGGCTGTGCAGGAATTGAGAGCACTGGTGGCTGGTTGATGCAGGAATGTGGTTGGAAAAGTAGCAATGCAACTATATACAATTCCTACAAGGGTGAATTCAGGTAACACTCATTTAATTAAAAGTGAGTAAATGAATAGAAATGGCCAGAGGAGACTAGGAAATTATTGCAGCCAAAATATGGCAAATTGTACAACTTTAGGACTAGAAAGAACCTTAAAGATGGAGTCTCAATGGTCTCAATAGATTAGAAAAGGGAGTTCTCTCCCGAAAGGTAGGTGCCATGGCCGTTCACACTGGCAGTCTGTGTCCAAGCCAAGTCACATCTCCTATTTGTCTTGCCCTTGGTTTTGAACTTTTCTGGAAACTCAATTGTTGTGTTAGATATTAGTTGTGGTGTTCAAGACTTCTCCCCACCCTTTCTAAAATATCATGATTTCTCCCTGGGAAATAATGAGTGGAGTTTGCCCTCCCTGCGGCCATATTTCACCCCAACATTAGAAAAAGCTGAGTAACTTCATTTTTTGTGCCTTGCATTGAAACGCGTCTCTGCATCTGGAATAAATGGCATTTAAGAGCATCCTCTAGTTTCTAAGTCACTATGTATTTGCGAAAGCTCAGGCTTGGAGTGTCAGAATTAAACGGGGTCAGGAAATATTGCAACGTAGACTTTTCACTCATTACTGGGGTTTCTCCCACAGGTCGAGAAGTGGGCTTGCACACAGGGGTGGTCTATTTGTTTGCTCAAGAATCTAGACCGGCTCTGGAATAAGTAGAAAAAAGTCCCACGTGGCACTCAGTGAACAGGAAGTGTATGCTCTCCAGACATGTGGCTGTCCCCTCCTGCCCTCTCACTAAGCTGCTATTTGTTCAGAGGGTTCTTGGCCTTAGGCGGAAGGGCAGAGCTGCCAGCAGAGAGGCATTTTTCCCAGAAGCCCTTGGAAGGAGCACAATCCAAACTTGTTTCTAGAAGAGTCTGCAGCACAGCACTCCTGGCTGCCCGTGTCCCCGCTCATGGCTACAGGGACCTCAGTGGACTCACAGAGGTGGCAAATCTCACTCCTCTGTGAAAATGGCAATATTCTGGAAACGCTGCATGCTGATAGCACCGTTCATCGGTCCGTTCATTCCTTCTTTCGGCAAGTGGTTGCAAAGCACTTGGTTTGTGCTAGGCCCTGTGCTAGACACTGAGGAACCAGTTCTACAAAACAAGTGGTTAAGGTCTGGCACCACGGCTCACGCCTGTAATCCAAGCACTTTGGGAGCCCGAGGTGGGCAGATCACTTGAGCTCAGGAGTTCGAGACCAGCCTGGGCAACATGGTGAAACCAAGCCTCTACTAAAAATACAAAGGTCGCCGGGCATGGTGGCACACACCTGTAGTTCTGGTTGCTTGGGAAGTGGAGGTGGGAGGATCGACTTGAGCCCGTGAGGTGGAGGTTGCAGTGAGCCGAGATCGCATCATTGCACTCCAGCCTGGGTAACAGAATGAGGCTCTCAAAAAAACAAAAACAAACAAGCAAAAAACCGAAAAACAAGTGGTTAAAAGCTTTGGCTCTGAGAGAGCTACTTTTGTTCTAAGTCCCTGTTTCCTTCTAGCTACAGATTATAATTTTAAAATGTCAAAACAATTCACAATCCATATTTACTTAGACAAATAACTTTTGCTAATGTCCTTTTTTTTTTTTTTTTTTTTTGACACTGGAGTATTGCTCTGTTGCCCAGGCTGGAGTGCAGTGGCCTGATCTCAGCTCACTGCAACCTCAGCCTCAAGGGTTCAAGCGATTCTCCTGACTCAGCCTCCTGAGTAGCTGGGATTACAGGTGCCCACCACCATCACGCCTGGCTAATTTTTCTATTTTTGTAGAGACGTGATTTCACCATGTTGGCCTGGCTGATCTTGAGCTTCTAACCTCAGGTGATCTACCTGCCTCAGCCTCCCAAAGTGCTGGGATTGCAGGTGTGAGCCACCACACCCGGCCTAATGTCTTTTTTTTTTTTTTTTTGACACAGTCTCACTCTTGTCGCCCAGGCTGGAGTGCAATGGCGCGATCTTGGCTCACTGCAACTTCCGCCTCCCGGGTTCAAGCAATTCTCTTGCCTCAGCCTCCCAAGTAGCTGGGATTACAGGCATGTGCCAACACGCCTAGCTAATTTTTGTATTTTTAGTGGAGACAGGGTTTCACCATGTTGGCCAGGCTGGTCTCGAACTCCTCAGGTGATCTACCCACCTTGGCCTCCCAATGTGTTGGGATTACAGGCGTGAGCCACCATACCTGGCCCTATGCCTTTTTTTTTTTTTTTTTTTCATAGAAATGGCGAGTCTAAGTTGCCCAGGCTGGTCTTGAACTCCTGAGCTCAAACAATCCACCCACCTTGGCCTCCCAAAGTGCCGAGATTACAGGCGTGAGCCACCACACCAAGCCTGCTAATTTCTTTGCACACATTGATTTCTTGCAATCCATTATATCTTCCAAGGTTCATTTCTCTTCTTGGAGAATGTCCTTTATTCATTCCTTCAGAGAGAGTTTGTAGGTCCTAATGTGTCTTACTCTTAGAAGATCCAAAATGTCTTTATTTTACTCTTAATATTGACTGGGAGATTGAGAATAAAATTCTAAGATCAAAGATATTTTTCTCAGCACTTTGATGGCGCCACTAAATTATCTTCTTACAGGCCCCGTGGCTGATGTCAGTCTCACTCTCATGCTTTGGTAGGTAATCTGCCAGATTTTCTCTGACAGCTTTTAGGATTTTCTCTTTATTCTTAACTACCCCCTATTTAGGTGTGGAGTTTTTTTTGCTTATTTTTATTCTTCTCAGGACTCAGTGAGATTCTTAATATGTTCTAGGAAATTCTGTGATCTTTATGTCATTACTTCTCCCTACTCCATCCTCTCTGGTATTCCTTTTAAAGGATTACGTCCATGATGCTTACCTTCCATGTAATAGTGTCCATCTGTTCTTATTTTATGCTATAGCCTGAGAGAATACGTCAATAAAATCTTCTAGGTCATCAATTCACTTTTAACCCTGCTCAACCTTTCATTTAGTCTATCTGCTAGCTTGGTAATTTTAAATGTTTTTTTGTTTTGTTTTGTTTTTTGTTTTCCTTTTTTGAGACAGAGTCTTGCTCTGTCACCCAGGCTGGAGTGCAGTGGCATGACCTTGGCTCACTGCAACCTCTGCCTCACAGATTCAAGTGATTCTCCTGCCTCAGCCTCCCGAGTAGCTGGGATTACAGGTGCCCATGACCACACCCGGCTAATTTTTGTATTTTTAGTAGAGACAGGGTTTCACCATGTTGGCCAGGCTAGTCTCGAACTCCTGACCTCAGGTGATCCACCCGCCTCAGCCTCCAAAAGTGCTGGGATTACAGGCGTGAGCCATCGCACCCAGCCAGCAGTCCCCAAACTTTTTGGCACCAGGGACTGGTTTCATGGAAGACAATTTTTCCATGGGGGGCAACGGGATGATTTCGGCATGATTCAAACACATTACATTTATTATGTACTTTAGTTGTATTATTACATACTCACCATAATCAGTGGGAGTCCTGAGCTTGTTTTCTTCCAACTAGATGGTCCCATCTGGGGGTGATGGGAGACAGGGACAGATCACCAGGCATTAGATTCTCACAAGCAGCACGCAACCTAGCTCCCTCACATATGAAATTCACAATAGGGCCCGAGCTCCTATGAGAATCTAATGCCGCCACTGATTGGACAGAGGTGGAGCTCAGCTTCCCTCACCTGCCACTCACCTCCTGCTGTGCAGCCTGGTTCCTAACAGGCCACAGACCAGTGCTGGCATGTGGCCCTGGGGTTGGGGGCCCCCATTTTAAAGTACACATAAAAATTTGCCACAACTCCACTTAAACTATTCAAATGGTTTCCAGCCTCACTTGGGATAATATCTAAACTTGATCCCCTGAATTGAAAAGCTCAACATGACCTGCCACCTGTCTACTTTTCCGTACATAATTGTTGCTACTTTTTCACTTGCGCCACTGCCCAGGATAGTCTTCTGAACTTTGAAAAGCTGAACTTTTTGTTCCTCCAGAACTCAGATTAGACATCTCCCCTCCTAGAAACCTTTAAGGATCACTTAATGTAAAATAGTCACTGTATCACATCACTCTTTTTTTTTTTTTTTTTTTTTTTTAAAGACAGGTAGGCTGGGCCTGGTGGCTCACACCTGTAATCCCAGCACTTTGACAGGCCAAGGCGGGCAGATCACCTGAGGTCAGGAGTTCGAGACCAGCCTGGCCAACATTGTGAAACCTCATCTCTACTAAAAATACAAAAATTAGCCGGGCACGCCTGTAATCCCAGCTACTCGGGAGGCAGAGTTTGCAGTGAACCAAGATCATGCCATTGCACTCAGCTTGGGTGACAGAGCAAGACTCCATCTAAAAAAAAAAAAAAAAAAAGACAGGGTCTTGCTCTGTCACTTAGGCTGGAGTGCAGTGGTGCAATCATAGCTCACTGCAGCCGCGACCTCTGGGCTTCAGCAGTCCTCCTGCCTCAGTCTCCCAAGTAACTGGGACTACAGGCATACCCCACCATGCCTGGATAATTGTGTGTGTATGTGTGTGTGTAGAGTTGTAGAGATGGGGATTTCACCATGTTGCCCAGGCTGGTCTTGAACTCCTGGCCTCCAGTGATCCTACCACCTGGGCCTCCCAAAGCGCTGGCATTATAGTCATGTGCCATTGCACCAGTCTATTTTTAATTACCTTTCACCATCACTTTTAAAAATGTGTTTGAAAAAAAATGTGTGAGTTTGCCTGTTTATGTGTTGCCTGGCTTCCCCGGGCCCCGACAAGACTAGAAGCTTCTGGCAGGTCATGGTGGCTCACGCCTGTAATCCCAGCACTTTGGGAGGCTGAGGCAAGAGGATCACTTGAGGCCAGTAGTTTGAGATCAGCCTGGGCAACAAAGTGAGACCCCCCTCTACAAAAAATCAAAAACTCAGCCAGGCATGATGGCGTGGGCCTGTGGTCCCACATGGAAGGCTGCAACAGAAGGATCACTTGAGTCCAGGAGGTCGAAGCTGCAGTGAGCCATGTTCCTACCACTGCAATCCAGCTTGGGTGACAAAGTAAGACCCTGTCTCAAAAAAAAAAAAAAAAAGAAGCTTCTTGAGATCAGGAACCTTGGCCTAAGGTGCTGCTCTCCCCACGGCATCTGGAGCTATATCTGGGACACAGAAGGCACTTAATAAATATTTGTTGAATGAGGACAAGTTTGGCTGTGAAGAATGAGTTTGGGAAAGGGAATAAAAAAGGAAGAGGGAGTGAGACAGGTCGGGATAGCATTTGAAGGTAGGGGTGGTGACCAGAGGGTAATTAAAAGGTTGCTCAATCACTCTGTAATGCTGAGGCCCCCAAATGAAGCCGGCCTTCAACTTAGCAATGACATCCATTGCTTGGCAATGACATTCATCTGCTTTGCTCTGTGATTTTCTACCCACAGGGTTGAAGAGTCCCGGAATAAACTGAACAAACAGATGGCCTATTTCTTCACTTGTAAAACATTAAGTGTTAAAGTATTATAGATAATGTTTAAGGACTATCCAGCCTTAAAATCAATGAGGATTCAAATAACTTGGGAAACCAGGTATTTTTAAAAATCTGCTATAAAATAAATAATCAGTGACTCCCTATCTATTCTTTTAAAGTTCCGAGTTTTGGGCAGGGTGTGGTGGCTTATGCCTGTAATCCCAGCACTTTGGGAGGCTGAGACAGGTGGATCACTTGAGGTCAGGAGTTTGAGACCAGCCTGGCCAATATGGTGAAACCTCCATCTCTACTAAAAAAAAAAAAATACAGAAATTAGCCGGGTGTGGTGGCGGGCACCTGTAGTCCCAGCTACTCGGGAGGCTGAGGCAGGAGAATTGTTTGAACTCAGCTAGACGCAGTGATTCATGCCTGTAATCCCAACACCTTGGGAGTCCGAGGCAGGCAGATCACAAGGTCAGGAGTTCGAGACCATCCTGGTCAACATGGTGAAACCCCATCTCTACTAAAAATACAAAAACTAGCCGGGCGTGGTGGCGCACGCCTGTAGTCTCAGCTACTCGGGAGGCTGAGGCAGAAGAATCACTTGAACCAGGGAGGCAGAGGTTGCAGAGAGCCGAGATTGCGCCATTGCACTCCAGCCTGGGCAACAAGAGCGAAACTCTGTCTTGCAAAAAAAAAAAAAAAAAAAGAGGCTGATGTTAGACTCCATTTAGAGAAGTGGTGTGAGGGACAAGGAAATTCTGGCGCTTTACAAACAGAAGGTGGCCTCTAGCACAGAGAAGTTGAAGTCTGCAGGTTAACACACAGCATTCAGTGGTGCTGCTAGACGGCAGCCTGAAGCGGGCTCCTGGTTCAGAGAGAACGAATACTAAAAATACCAGGCAGGCCGGGTGCGGGGGCTCACGCCTGTCATCCCAGCACTTTGGGAGGCCAAGGCAGATCACTGGAGGTCAGGAGTTCAAGATCAGTCTGGCCAATATGGCGAAACCCCATCTCTACTAAAAATACAGAAATTAGCCGGGCATGGTGGCAGGCACCTATAGTCCCAGCTACTCAGGAGGCTGAGGCAGGAGAATCACTTGAACCTGGGAGGCAGAGGTTGCAGTGAGCCAAGATCACACCACTGCACTCCAGCCTGGGCGACAGAACAAGACTCCATCTCAAAAAAAAAAAAAAAGAGGCAAATGTGTATTATACATTTATGCAGAACTTTTCTATTTTTCATTTGTGTGTGTGTGTAATATATTCTTACACTTTTCACTGATTCCTTTAATTCAATATTTATTAAACATCTATATATGTTAGACACTGGTCAGGGCTACAGTGAGTACAAATGAATGAATAACAAATCCTGCTTTCCAAAAGCAAAAACTAACAGGAGAAAGGAAGCTATGCACCGGCAACCGGCACGCACAGTGGGCTATGATTCACTGTGAAAGTTCCAGTGAGGGGAGGCCGCTTCTGGTCAGGGGAAGAACGTGAAGGACTCCTTCACGGAGGAGGGCGTTTGCATTGAGACCCGGGATTGGGGTAAGCATTTGAGAAACAGGAATGGAGAGATGGGAGTGCTATTATGGGATATCAGCGATGGAAAACTGTTCCATAGAAAAGAGCTTGGACTTTTCATGAGGGTCACTATAGTGGGCAAAATCAGGATGCATGATTGGAAATGTTTAACTTTAGTTTAATGTCAAACCTTTTTGACAAATGGATATGGAGCCTCTGGTGTATCAGAAGCATTTCCGCAGCAGAGGAAATGTTGGACTAGACCAGTGTTCTCAAGTTGAGGGATGTATGGAGCCATTCTTAAAAAATCAAATTATTTTATCATAGTACCATTTACAAGTAATAAACATGGGCAAGGTGTGGTGGCTCACACATGTAATCCCAGCACTTTGGGAGGCTGAGGCGGGTGGATTACCAGAGGTCAGGAGTTCGAGATCAATCTGACCAACATGGTGAAACCCCATCTCTACTAAAAATACAAAATTAGCTGGGCGTGGTGGCGCATGCCTGCAATCCCAGCTACTCAGGAGGCTGAGGCAGGAGAAACACTTGAACCCAGGAGGCGGAGGTTGCAGTGAGCTGAGATCGCGCCACTGCACTCCAGCCTGGGCAACGAGTGAAACTCTACCTCACACACACACAAAAAAAGTAATAAACATGAACCTAGGTATAAACGCTTAAGATTGTGAATTTTGGCCAGGCGCGGTGGCTCACGCCTGTAATCCCAGCAGTTTGGGAGGCAGAGGCAGGCGGATCATGAGGTCAGGAGATCGAGACCATCCTGGCTAACACAGTGAAACCCCGTCTCTACTAAAAATACAAAAAATTAGCCGGGCGTGGTGGCGGGCGCCTGTAGTCCCAGTTACTTGGGAGGCTGAGGCAGGAGAATGGCCTGAACCCAGGAGGCAGAGCTTGCAGTGAGCCGAGATTGTGCCACTGCACTCCAGCCTGGGCCACAGAGCGAGACTCCGTCTCAAAAAAAAAAAAAAAAAAAAAAGATTATGAATTTTATACTATAATAAAACCAAACAATTTGCAAATAATATACAGACACAAGTATAAGGCAAATAGAAGTCAAATTAACAGCTCTAACTGAATGTAACAGTTGATGTTGTTTTGCTGAAATGAAATCACTCTCCATACAAGAACACAGTACAGATTGCCACTGCCTGGCAGCCACCGGCAACTGCTGTGCGAAGTCGGTTTTTCTACTGCTTTTCTCCATTCAAACTGCTCAGTATCCTTATGTGAACGGCGCGAGGCACAAGGCTCTTGATGTCATCGAGCCTTCATTCAATTTGAATGAATCTTTCCCAGATTCAGTCCAACTATCTCTCTCTTGTAATTAATGCGGAAAAGTAAAAGTCATCCTACCCGATGCCTGTATCAGTCAGGATCCCAACAGAAGGTGGCGGGCTCACCGAGCCTTGGGTACTCGGGGGAGGGTTGACTTACAAGGAGACGCCTGGCATGTGCTGAGGTGGTGCGGAAACCAGGGGCTGATGGCAGAGGAGCTGCTAGGCTTACAGGACACAGGACGGTGAGGGGCCCCCAAACAGGAGGAGGGAGTCAAGGAGAGAAGCCACCGTGAGACATGTGACCTTTGGTCTAGGGGCACAGACAGCCAGGGCCAGGCTCGCTGGGAGAGGCCTCACTCTTGCTGTCGTCCCCTCCCGCCAGGGCTCCTCACACCAGAAAGCAAAAGGCAAGGGAGCCTGTGGATTCCGTCCATACTGATCAGTTTCTGCCGGGTGGAGAAAGGTGGGTGGTGGAGACCAGAGAGGGAAGAGGGCAAATGAACAACTAGTACCAGGACACATGCGCAAGCCTGATATGGTATGCGGACACTCAGTCATGGGTGATCACCAGCTAGTTTAGAAAATATATTGTGGGCCGGAGGCGGTGGCTCCCGCCTGTAATCCAACCTGGATTTACAGGTGGATCGTGAGGTCAGGAGTTCAAGACCAGCCTGACCAAGATGCTGAAACCTCATCTCTACTAAAAATACAAAAATTAGCCGGGCATGGTGGTGCACGCATGTAATCCCACTACGTGGGAGGCTGAGGCAGAGAATTGCTTGAACCTGGGAGGCAGAGGTTGCAGTGAGCCGACATTGCACCCTGCACTCCACCCTGGGCAACAGAGCGAGACTCCATCTCACAGAAAAAAGAAAATGTATTGTACACACACACACAAAAGTAAGTACAGGAGGTAATGCATATGTCAGTTTGCTTGATGTAGCCATTCTATTCAAAGAATCATGGTGGGCCAGGCACAGTGGCTCATGCCTATAATCCCAGCACTTTGGGAGGCCAATGTGGGCGGATCGTTTGAGGTCAGGAGTTCAAGACCAGCCTGGCAAACCTGGCAAAACCCTGTCTCTACTTAAAAAATACAAAAATTGGCCAGGCGCAGTGGCTCACGCCTGTAATCCCAGCAATTCAGGAGGCCGAGGCAGGCGGATTGCCCGAGGTCAGCAGTTCAGGACCAGCCTGACCAACATGGTGAAACCCCGTCTCTATTAAAAATACAAAAATTAGCCGGGCATGGTGGTGTGCACCTGTAATCCCAGCTACTCGGAAGGCTGAGGCAGGAGAATTGCTTCAACCCAGGAGGCAGAGATTGCAGTGAACCAAGATCGCATCACTGCACTCCAGCCTGGGCGACAGAGTGAGACTTTGTCTCCAAAAAAAAAAAAAAATTAGCCAGGCATGGTGGCATGCGCTTGTAGTCCCAGCACTTGGGAGGCTGAGGCACAAGAATTGCTTGAACCCAAGAGGAGGAGGTTGCAGTAAGCCGAGATCGCACCACTGCACCCCACCCTGGGCAACAGAGCAAAACCTGTCTCACAAAACAAACAAACAAAAAAACCCATCATGGTATACACAATAAAAATATACAATTTTTAGGCCAGGGTTGGTGGCTCACACCTGTGATCCCAGCACTTTGGGAGGCCAAGGTGGGAGGATCTCTTAAGTCCAGGAGTTTGAGACCAGCCCGGGCAACATAGCAAGACTCCATCTCTACAAAAAATAAAAGAGTTAGCTGTGCATGGTGGTGCACACCTGTGGTTCAAGTGGGAGCATCACTTGAGCCCAGGAGGTTGAAGCTGCAATGAGCCGAGATGGCGCCACTGCACTCCAGCCTGGGCAACAGAGCAAGGCCCTGTCTCAATAAATAAATATATACATACACACACACACAATGTTTATTTGCCAAATAAATAAAAATAAAATTTTAAATTAAAAAAAAGTAAAAGTCACATTGTTTTTCAAAACTAAAATACAAAATTGCAAAATTCTCATAGAACTCTTTCAAACACCCAAGAACATATCTGTATTCCCCCAGGAGCTCAAAGGCCTCGTGTGGTCCTGTCTAACCTGGAGCTCCCAGAATGTAAGCTCAGGGGAAGAAAGGGACAAGGTCCTTTGGCTTCCTCAAAGTCCTATATGATCAGGACCCTGCCTACCTCTCTTCCTTCATATAGAGCCTCTCCCCACCCTATTCCCACCTGCCTCTTCCCTCTACATTCATACACACAACTTCTTGCATTTCCCCTAAATGCCAGACCTTTTCCTTCAAACATGCCATTCCCTCCACAAGAGGCAGGAGTTTGTTGGGGGAGGGTCACGTCCCCAGCACGCTTCTCCCTTAGGCTCACAAGGTGGCTGTATTAGTCCGTTCTCAGAGTGCCATAAAGAACTACCTGGGACTGGGTAATTTATAAAGAAAAGAGGTTTAATTGACTCACGTGGCTGCACAGGCCTCAGGAGGCTTCCAATCATGGCAGAAGGCGAAAGGGAAGCTGCACAAGGAGGAAGAGCGTGGGGCGGGGCGCGGGGGGGTGGGGGGTGGGGGGCGGCTACACGTTTTTAAACAACCAGATCTCGCGAGAACTCCCTCACTATCAGGAGAATAGCAAGGGGGACGTCCATCCCCAATATCCAATCACCTCCCACCAGGCCCGTTCTCCCGTGCTGGCAATTACAATTCAACAGGAGATTTCGGTGGGGACACAGAGCCAAACCATATCAGTGGCTACTTAGCTCCAGGCCTTAATGCTCTCAAATCAAGCACCACAGGGAGGAGCACCTGCCATAATCCCAACGCCCTCAGCAAAATTCTCCTGGTACCCGATTGGCTTTGCAGAGTCGTGTGCCTATCCCAGTGCCACCTCTGTGCTGGGGGTAACGTGAAGCTGTCATCCGACAGACAGGAGCCACAGACCACTCCTGCACCCAGCTGTGGAGTCTGTTCCCAATAGGATGATGAAGCATAATCCCAGCGCTTTGGGAGGCCGAGGCGAGCAGATCACGAGGTCGGAAGTTCAAGACCAGCCTGACCAACAGGTGAAACCCAGTCTCTACTAAAAAACAAAAATTAGCTGGGTGTGGTGGCGTGCACCTGTAATCCCAGCTACTCGGGAGGCTGAGGCAGGAGAATTGCTTGAACCTGGGAGGCAGAGGTTGTGGTGAGCCAAGATCGTGCCATTGCACTCCAGCCTGGGCAACAACAGCAAGACTCTGTTTCTCTGTTTCAAAAAAAAAAAAAAAAGAAAAGAAAAAGAAAAGAGAGTTGAACTGGAATCTAAAGCATGGGTTGGCTGTCCATAGATAGAAGGAAAAGGAATAGTGCCTCAGTGTTGACGACACTGTGTGTAAAGGCAGAGAAGTCAGGCAAGTGTGGGGATGTGTTGAGAATGATAAAATGACAAGGCCAGCATGAATAGGACAGTTTGTCAGAGAACAGTGCAAGATACATTCATTCGACAGGTATATGAGGGAAGGACTTGTCACTGTTAATATATTCAATGTCAAAATGTGCATGAGACAAACTATGTGCCAGTAACTTATGGGTTTCCTTCTTTATATCCAGCCATGTTGCTTGGTAGTTAAATTCAAAGATGAATGGGAGAGGTAGACACATTCAGCAATGCTTACTGAGCATGTACTGTGTGCAGGCAGTTCTAGATTCTGCCACCCAAGGTCTCTGCTTGCAGAGCACTGACATCCTTATTGAGAGAGACAGGGAGTAAACTGACAAACAAGAAAATAACAGGGAGTGATAAGTGCTTGGCTGAGATATGAAATAACCTGATGGACAGAGTGATTGGGCAGCTATTTCAAACCAAAGGGTCACAGAGGGCTTCATGGAAGAGGTGGGCAGGAAGCAAAGTTGCCAGCCATGCTTAAGTCAGGGAACGGGAGCAGCCAGGGCAAGGCTGCCTTATGTCACCTGACACTTTTCCTAATGCTCCCTTCTTCCTCTTGCTCACCCCCTGGGTTTTCTACTATCTCTGCATTTTTTATTTTTTTATTTTATTTTTTTGAGACAGAGTCTTGCTGTTGCCCAGGCTGGAGTGCAGTGGCACGACTTTGGCTCACTGCAAACTCCACCTCCCAGGTTCAAGTGATTCTCCTGCCTCAGGCTCCTGAGTAGCTGGGATTACAGGTGCCTGCCACCACGCCCAGCTTTTTTATATTTTTAGTAGAGACAAGGTTTCACCATGTTGGCCAAGCTGGTCTTGAACTCCTGACCTCAAGTGTTCCACCCGCCTCGGCCTCCCAAAGTGCTAGGATTACAGGCGTTAGCCACTGCGCTGGCCCTAAAATTTGCATTTCTGTACTTGCACTTCTTCAGTGAAAATCTGGGCTGAAAGCTGCACGGTGGTGTGCCCCTGAAGTCCCAGCTACTCAGGAGGCTGAGACAGGAGGATTGCTTGAGCTCAGTAGTTCAAGACCAGCCTTGACAACACAGTGAGATCCCGTCTCAAAAAAAAAAAAAAAAAAGTCTAATCTGGTAATTCCAGACTGATATCATCAGTTTTCCCTGCCACCCACTGCACTGAGTCCTCTGTTCTACCTTGAACTTTGTCAGCCACCTGACCTTCTTCCATACCTATCTGCCAAGCTTATTTCTTATCTTGGGCCTTTGTCTGCTAAATACACAACCTAGCACAGGATCCTGCCACAATGAGACAAACACTGTGTAAGTTGCAAAACACATTGACGTGGTATTTTTATACTTATTTATTTATTTATTTATGTTCTGTAGGGGTAGGGTCTCACGATGTTGCCCAGGCTGGTCTCAAAACGCCTGGCCTCAAGCAATCCTCCCGTCTTGGCCTTCCAAACTCTGGGCGGCATGAGCCACCATGCCTGGTTGACTTGGTCATTTTAAATGATGTTCTCAGACTTTGATTAGTCTCCTAGTTATTCCCCGGTTTTCCTCAATTACTCATCCATTGGCAAGCTTGCTTTCCTCACCTCCTGCTATGTGTCCACAGTGCATCTCTGCTGCAGGACGGCATTTATTAAAGACTAACTCTCCAGCTCAAAGATGAACCTTAAGCAGTTTTCTTTTCTTTTCTTTTTTTGAGACAGAGTCTTGCTCTGTCGTCCAGGCTGGAGTGCAGTGGTGCCATCTCAGCTCACTGAAACCTCCGCCTCCCAGGTTCAAACGATTCTCCTGCCTCAGCTTCCTGAGTAGCTGGGACTACAGGCAGGCGCCACCACACCCAGCTAATTTTTTTTTTCTTTTTCTGAGACAGAGTTTTGCTCTTGTTGCCCATGCTGGAGCGCAATGGCATGACCTCGGCTCACCACGACCTCCACCTCCCAGGTTCAAGCGATTCTCCTGCCTCAGCCTTCTGAGTAGCTGGGATTACAGGCATGCGCCACCACGCCTGGCTAATTTTGTATTTTTAATAGAGACGGGGTTTCTCCACGTTGGTCAGGCTGGTCTCGAACTCCCGAACTCAAGTGATCCACCCACCTTGGCCTCCCAAAGTGCTGGGATTACAGGTGTGAGCCACAGCACCGGGCCTGAAGCAGTTTCTTTGTCCTCTGAGTTGGCCTTGAAACTTGTATTTTACAGGTGGATGAAACACAAACAAGAAAGGCAACGTCAGCATGAACATGGAGGAGGACGTCTTCGAGGGAGAGCTGGCAGGGTGGGTTAGTGGGGGCAGAGGCTGGGGTTGTTGAGGACTGTGCGAGGTGATGCTCGCGGTGGAAATGAGGAATGAGCAGGCCTGGGCCATCTGGGTGGGGAGAGTGGGAAGGAAGATCAGTGAAGAGATATACAACCTGATTGAAAAGCCCAGACCCCATGTTTCTTTTCTGCCCTTGCCATAGGCAAGTTCAAGAAAGAGAACCATTCCGTGAAAGAGCACTTCTTCTACCAGCAGGTCTAGCACAGACCCGATGTGTATCCTGTAGCCTCAAGCTGTCCAGAAAGCTGCCATCAGCCCTCCCTGATGTGGGGTGCCGGCTGTCCGGGCTGAGCCACCAATGCACAAGACACACCCTGGCCCAAAGTGCATCACTAAGAGCCTCTCACATTCTTCTGCTTCAAACAGGACCCAGGAGTACCGACTGAGGCATTCGCCACCTTTATTTACAGAACAGATTTTGTCCAGCTTAGGAGTCATCAGATAAAGGAAGAAAACATCTCATTACAAAGTAGAATTTCCCTGGAGACTCTCGGTCCCCATAAAGGTGGTGGTCCTAGGGGGCAACAGAGACAAACTTCAGCATCAGCATTTTGACCTCCTTAGGAAAGCTGCTTGAGAGAGTCCATACTCAGGTATAAAACTTTCAAGGACAAATTTAAGGAAAATGGAAAACTATTTCTACTTGTGGCTTCCTTACCAAGAACTTTCTCCTTTACAAGAAAATGACTGCATTCTGATGGGATCTGTGTGTTAATAGTGAGACAAAAGTATAATCACCATTTTTCAGAGACCCCTGTGGACTTTGACAATGAGGTGCCATGGGAGATGGGCTATTTTTCTCACAGTAGAGTCCCAATAGGTGCTTTATTTTGAAATGTTCTGCTTACTATTTTTAATTAAAAATACTGTTTACTTTCCTATTACTACCTTTTTTGTGTTGAATTTGGAAAAAAAATACAATAGACTCAAAGAAGAAAATCAAATCACCATTACTTCATTGAGAAATAATCACTAATTACAACTTGGCATATGTCTTTTTTTTTTTTTTTTTTTTTTTTGAGATGGAATCTCGCACTGTCACCCAGGCTGGAGTGTAGTGGCCTGTGGCTCATTGCACCTCCACCTACCAGGTTCAAACGATTCTCCTGCCTCAGCCTCCCGAGTAGCTGGGAATACAGGCGTGTTCCACCACTCCCGGCTAATTTTTGTATTTTTAGTAGAGACGGGGTTTCAGCATGTTGGACAGGCTGGTCTCGAACTCCCAACCTCAGGTGATCTGCCCGCCTCGGCCTCCCAAAGTGCTGGCATTACAGGCATGAGCCACCGTGCCCGGCCTGGCATAAATCTTTACGATCATTTCTCAGCAGAACAATGAGAAAATAGTGATTTATTCTTACATTGAAACCTGTTTTTTTCCCACATATCACAAACACATTGCCATGTGTGAAAAATTCTTTTGAAATTCTTTTTATTTATTTATTTTGTAGAGATGGGGTCTCCCTTTGTTGTCTGGGCTGGTGGCGAACTCCTTCCTCAAGCAATCCTCCCACCCTGGCCTCCCAAAGTGCTGGGATTACAGGTGTGAGACACCACACCCAGTGTCTTTTGAAATTCTTGTCTGGCAAAATGTTAGCAACTTTAGTAGCCAGGCGTGGTGGTGTGTGCCTGTAGTCCCAGCTACTCTGGAGGCTGAGGCAGGAGAATCAGTTGAACCCGGGAGGCAGAGGTTGCAGTTGAGCCAAGCTCGCATCACTGCACTCCAGCCTGGGCAACAGAGCAAGACTCTGTCTGAAAATAAAAATAAAAATTAAAAATTAAAAATGTTAGCAAGTTTTTCTGTTGACTGCCTGGCACCCACTTTAAGAATGTGTCCTAAGGCCAGGCGTGGTGGCTCACGCCTGTAGTCCCAGCACTTTGGGAGACTGAGGTGGGCGGATCACTTGAGGTCGGGAGTTCGAGACCAGCCTGGCCAACATGGTGAAACCCCGTCTCTACTAAAAATACAAAAATTAGCCAGGCGTGGTGGCGCATGCCTGTAATCCCAGCTGCAAGGGAGGCTGAGGCAGGAGGATCGCTTGAGCCCAGGAGGCAGAGGTTGCAGTGAGCCGTGATCACGCCACTGCAGTCCAGCCTGGGCGACAGAGCAAGACTCCATCTCAAAACAACAACAGCAACAGCAACAAAAAGAATGTGTCTTGCTTCATGTAATCAATCTCCTTGTGTTGAAAGTTTGGTTTTTTCTTTTTCTTTTTCTTTTTTTTTTTTTTTTTTTTGAGTCAGAGTCTTGCTCTGTTGCCCAGGCTGGAGAATAATGGCACGATCTCAGCTCACTGCAACCTATGCCTCCTGGGTTCAAGCAATCCTCCTGCCTCAGCCTCCCGAGTAGCTGGGATCACAGGCATCCACCACCATGCCCGGCCAACGTTTGTATTTTTAGTAGAGATGGGGTTTCACCATGCTGGTCTCTTTCGCCAGGCTGGTGTCAAACTCCTGACCTTGTGATCTACCTGCGTCGGCCTCCCAAAGTGCTGGGATTACAGGCGTGAGCCACCACGCCCAGCCAAAAGTTTGTTTTTTTTTCTTAACTTTTCTCTATCATAGCCACTCTACCATACCAACTCTGAGATTGTTTGTAACTAATTTTTTTTTTTTTAAGATGGAGTTTCCCTCTTATTTCCCCAGGCTGGAGTGCAATGGCGCAATCTCTGCTCACTGCAACCTCCGCCTCCCGGGTTCAAGTGATTCTTCCGCCTCAGCCTCCCCAGTAGCTGGGATTACAGGCACCTGCCACTACACCCAGCTAATTTTTGTATTTTCAGTAGAGACAGGGTTTCACCATGTTAGCCAGGCTGGTCTCGAACTACCGACCTCAGGTGATCTGCCCACCTCAGCCTCCCAAAGTGTTGGCATTACAGGCATGACCCACTGTGCCCAGCCAATAACTAAACTTTTGTGTGATTCTTACTTAGCCCCTCAGGATAAGGTTTTTGGTTGTTGTTGTTGAGACTGAGTCTCGCACTGTCACCCAGGCTGGAATGCAGTGGCATGATCTCAGCTCACTGCAAGCTCCACCTGCTGAGTTGAAAGGATTCTCGTGCCTCAGCCTCCCAAGTAGCTGGGATTATAGATGCCTGCCACCATGCCCGGCTAATTTTTGTATTTTTAGTAGACACGGGGTTTCACCATGTTGACCAGGCTGGTCTCGAATGCCTGACCTCAAGTGATCCGCCCACCTCAGCCTCCTGAAGTGCTGGGATTACAGGCGTGAGCCACCATGCGCCGCCAAGGTCTTATAAATAGCACTCCTGAGCTACACATTTTGTTGGTGCCTGGTGTTAGCCCGTCCTTCATGATGGAACGCCTTCGGCAGCACAGAAAATGGCCTTTTCCCTGTGACTTCACAAACATGAGATTTTTTTCAGTTGAAGGTTCAAAACAGACAGTGTCTCAGTGCCTCACCCTAAATGTCCCTAGCTGCTGGTGAGATTTCTCCTTTTCCCTTGTCGACTTCTCTTTCTGTGTCCCCGTCCATAGAGACAGCACAGCAGGGTGGTCAAGAGCACAGGAACAGACTGGACCAGACCACCTGAGCTCCATCCACTTCTGCCTCATTCATCAGCTGTTCGATCTCAAACAAGTAACCAATCTCAAACAGTGTCCCTGTCTGTAAAGTGGGGACATCAGGTAATGCATAGAGTCATTGTAAAAATTAAATTACTTCATAGCACATGCAAAACACGAAGAACAGTGCTTGGCTTGCAGTAAGCACTTCAGAAGTATTAGCTCTTATTTGTCCATTAAATTTAGTAAAACACCTAGAGTGAACACGAACGTAAACTGTAGACTTGGGTGATGATGTGTCAGGGTGGGCTCATTAATCGTAAGAAATAGCCAGGTGCGGTGGGTCACGCCTGTAATCCCAGCACTTTGGGAGGCCGAGGAGGGCGGATCACAAGGTCAGGAGATCGAGACCATCCTGGCTAACATGGTGAAACCCCGTCTCTACTAAAAATACCAAAAATTAGCCGGGCGTGGTGGCAGGCACCTGTAGTCCCAGCTACTCGGGAGGCTGAGGCAGGAGAATGGCGTGAACCTGGGAGGCGGAGCTTGCAGTGAGTCGAGATGGCACCTCTGTACTCCAGCCTGGGCGACAGAGCAAGACTCCGTCTCAAAAAAAAAAAAAAATCGTAAGAAATGTGTCACTCTCTGGTTGACAATGGGAGAGACTGTGAGTGTGTGGGGACAGGGATATATGGGAAATCTCTGGTGCTTCCTGTCAATTTTGCTGTGAACCTAAAACTGCTCTTAAAAAAAAAATATTGGCCAGATGCAGTGGCTCATGCCTGTAATCCCAGCACTTTGAGAGGCCGAGGAGGGCGGATCATGAGGTCAGGAGTTCGAGACCAGCCTAGCCAACAGGTGAAACCCCGTCTCTACTAAAAATACAAAAAATTAGCCGGCGTGATGGCATGCGCCTGTAATCCCAGCTACTCAGGAGGCTGAGGCAGGAGAATCGCTTGAACCCGGGAGGCGGAGGTTGCAGTGAGCCGAGATCATGCCACTGCAGTCCAGCCTGGGCAACAGAGCAAGACTCTGTCTCAAAAAAAAAAAAATCTTAGGCCAGGCACGGTGGCTCACGCCTGTAATCCCAGCATTTTGGGAGGCCGAGGCGAGTGGATCACCTGAGGTCGGGAGTCCGAGACCAGCCTGACCAACATGGAGAAAGCTCGTCTCTACTAAAAATACAAAATTAGCCAGGCGTGGAGGCACATATCTCTAATCCTAGCTACTCGGGAGGCTGAGGCAGGAGAATCACTTGAATCCAGGAGGTGGAGGTTGCGGTGAGCTGAGATCGTGCCATTGCACTGCAGCCTGGGCAACAAGAGTGAAACTCCGTCTCAAAAAATAAAAAATCTTAAAACAATTATTATTATTATTATTATTATTATTCAAGACAGAGTCTCATTCTGTCTCCCAGGCTGGAGTGCAGCAGTGCAGCCACAGCTCATTGCAGCCTTGAACATCCAGGCTCAAGTGATCCTTCCATCTCAGCCTCCCGAAGTACTGGGATTACAGGTGTGAGCCACTGCACCTGTAAAAAAAAAAAGTCTTAAAACAACTTTTGAACACCACTTCATTAAGGAGAGTATACCTTTACCATGTACTTTGCAAATCTTTGCCTTGCCTTCGTTGTTTAGAATTTTTCACAATATAACCTTTACTTGAGAGGTTTGACAAGAATAGAGAAGAAACGATACTATTTTGTCCAAATGTTATTATCACCATTTGTTTTATATTTGCGTATCCTAAAGACTTTGGCCAGCAACGCGACCTCAGGACGTAGAGGCCAGGATGCTTGTCCTGTTGGGATGCTGGGAGGGAGTGCCCCGACTCAGGAGCCACTGTTTCCTGCCTCTGGCTTCCCTGCCTCTGAGAAGAGAGTGTTTACAGGGACTAGGGACTGTCTTCAACTAGTAGGAAGGCAATGGTGTAGAAGGAAAAAGGAATGGATTCGCTGTTATTACTCCAAAGGGTAAAAGTTACCAGGAAGTAAATTTTGGCCTAATCTAAGAAGGAACTTTTTATCACATACTCGAGCTGCCTGGGAGGTAGCTCCTAAATTCCTCCCGAATAAAGGCCTTCAAGCGTGGGTTGCACAGGCAGCAGAGAGAGCTGCACCCCGTGGAAGGCTGGGTTAGATGACTGCTATAGTTTTTGTGACTTGCTTTGTTCTAAATTCCTTCTATGTTGATATTTCTGGCTCTTCTTCTTCTTCTTTTTTTTTTTTTTTTTTTTTTTTTTAGACAGTCTCGCTCTATCACCCAGGCTGGAGTGCAGTGGCGCAATCTGAGCTCACTGCAACCTCCGCCTCCTGGGTTCAAGCGATTCTTGTGCCTCAGCCTCCGCAGGAGCTGGGAGTACGGGCCCGCGCCACCACGCCCGGCTAAGATATTTATGGCTCTTCATTTGCGCGATCAGAAGCTGTATCAGCTCTGTGTACTTCTCCCTCTTCTGTCCGCTGGACAAACAGACTCTCCAGCTGAGGCAGCGGAGGTCCAAGCAGAAGGGAACACCCCTACTTCTCCCGCTGGTATTTAAATGTGGCCGCATGGGGTTCCTGAGCTCTTGTATTTACAAGTCAGTTTTCCTCCCTGTTGTTACAAAGCGCTCCCTTCCCACTGATGTTGAAGTGCCACGACTTCAGCGTTTGCCTGAAAAAAACATGACCACAAACTAAGAAGCCAAGGCCAGGCGCGGTGGCTCACGCCTGTAATCCCAGGACTTTGAGAGGCGGTGGCAAGCGGATTGCCTGGGCTCAAGAGTTTGAGACCAGCCTGGGCAACACGGTGAAACCCTGCCTCTACTACAACACACACACACACACACACACAAAAATTAGCCGGACAACACGGTGAAACCCTGCCTCTACTACAATACAAAAAAAAAAAAAAAAAAAAATTAGCCGGGCATGGCGGCGGGCGCCTGTAGTCACAGCTACTTGGGAGGCTGAGGCAGGAGAATTGCTTGAACCCGGGAGGCGGAGGTTGCAGTGAGCAGAGAACTAGGCAGTTGGTGGGCGGAGTGCTGACCTGCAAAAGAGTCAGTGAGGGAAGAGAGGGTTAGAAACAATCCACCCTAACATCCTCCCCACCCACTTCTCCAGCCGGTCTTCCCTTTCGCATTCTGTGAGATTCTCTGACCTTCATTTTAATCTGATCGTCTAACACTAAAATGTAGTCAGAACACTCCTCCCCAGGCTGAGTCCTCTAGGGAGAACCATAGAAATGTAAATTGTCATCCTCTTCACCGCAATCATTACTGTAGCCCAGAGCCCAGAGGCCCCCCAGGGCAACCCTTCATCTGGTAAACAAGAGGATACAAACCCAGGCACATTTTTTGACTAATGAGAAACACTCACAGAAAATGAAAAGGCCACCCTCCCTGCAGTGGCATCCAGGCCTGGCCTTGGTCCTTCCTTCCTCCTCGGCTGCTCTGTCTTCGTGGAACTCACACCCCCACGTAGTCATCTTCCCCGTGGAGAATACTTAGCCTTGGATTAGCACTGGCTGCATTTTCTTCAGCTCCATTTCCAAATTCCCGTAATTCCTATTTCATTCAATTAATATATTTTGGCCAGTTCTCTTCTAGCAGACTGGGGACAGAGACATCTCCCATACAGAAATAACAGCGTCGTTGTTATATATACATTTTTTGAGACAGGGTCTCGCTCTGTCATCCAGGCTGGAGTGCAGTGGCACGATCTCTGTTCACTGCAACTTCGACTTCTTGGGCTCAAGATCCTCTCACCTCAGCCTCCCAAGTAGCTAGAACTACAGGTGCACGCCACCACGCCTGGATAATTTTTGTTTTTTTTGTTTTTTTTGTAGAGATGGGGTTTCACCATGTTGCTCAAGTTGGTCTCAAACTCCTAGTCTCATGCAATCCGCCCACCTTGTCCTCCCAAAGTGCTGGGATTACAGGCCGAGCCACCATGCCCCACCTGTCCTCATTGTTAATAAAGACCATGCCAGCCCGGTGTGGTGGCTCACGCCTGTAATCCCAACACTTTGGGAGGCCAAGGCAGGTGGATTCCCTGAGGTCAGGAGTTTGAGACCAGTCTGGCCAACATAAAAAATAAAAAAATAGGCTGGGTGTGGTGGTTCACGCCTGTAATCCCAGCACTTTGGGAGGCCAAGGCGGGTGAATCACCTGAGGTCAGGAGTTCGAGACTAACCTGGCCAACATGGCGAAACCTTGTCTCTACTAAAAAAAATGCAAAAATTAGCCGGGCGTGGTGGTGCGTGCCTGTAATCCCAGCTACCCAGGAGGCTGAGGCAGGAGAATCTCTTGAACCCGGGAGGCGGAGGTTGCAGTGAACGGAGATCGTGTCACTGCACTCCATCTCCTGGGGAACAGGGCAAGACTCTGTCTCAAAAAAATAAATTAATTAATTAAATAAAAAAATAAAGACCATGCCACTGGTTAGGGTGAGCCCCAGCCCCATACTTTTTAAGGCTTTAATAATTAACTTTAGTTCCTCTAATATTCTAATTCTGTCCTGAAATGGATGCCATCTCAAGGAAGAGACTACCTTAAATCAAGTGTCTGAGAAGACAGCTTTGGTGGAACCGTACTATTCTAATTCTACTTAAGATGTTGGCCAATATGAGCACACATAGCTTTTCATTTCAGTTCCCACTCCCTACTGCCCAACATGCTTACTTTTTTTTTTACTTTTTTTTTGTTTTTTTCAGACAAAGTCTCGCTCTTGTCCCCCAGGCTGGAGTGATCTTGGCTCACTGCAACCTCCACCTCCCAGGTTCAAGCAATTCTGATATTCGTTTGTTAATTTATTCATCCAGTAAGCATTCATTAATCCCTTCCCTCAAGGAGTTTCCATTCAGTGAAACTGAGCCTATACAAAGTAGGGCTGACTTGGTGGGGATGCTAACCTTGTATGTGGCTTGAAGGAGTAGTAAGACGCCACCTATTCAAAAGAGTATCTCCTGCATTTTGTATGTAATATTATCGTAGACCATCCTCTGCCTTACAGCAGCATCTCCCAGTGTGTGGCCTGCAAGGTTCATTTGTTCACCACAGATGCTCACTAATGGCCTACTGGGTACCTGGCTGTGGCCTTCACAGAAACCTCCATGGTCAAGTGAGTGTCAGAAATATTGGCATAAACAAGCTGAGGCTTGTCACGCTCATTATGCAATATGACTTGTGCCCTTCCGAAGTTCTTGCCATAGAGGCGAAGGTTGCAGTGAGTGGAGATTGCACCACTGCACTCCAGCCTGAGCAACAGGCAATTATTTTTAATTTTATTTATTTAAAAAATTACATCTTTCATGCTTTTTTTAAAATTTTGTTTTGTTTTGTTTTGTTTTTGAGATGGAGTTTCGCTCTTGTTGCCCAGCCTCCCGAGGAGCTGGGACTACAGGCATGCACCTCCACACCCGGCTAATTTTCGTATTTTTAGTGGAGACGGGGTTTCACCATGTTGACCAGGTGGTCTCGAACTCCTGACCTCAGGTGATCTGTCCGCCTCGGCCTCCCAAAGTTCTGGGATGACAGGCGTGAGCCACCGCACCCAGCCAGTTGTTTCAAATTATATGCTAATACTATATTAATTATAAAGCAACTTCTTCAAGCAAGCAAACACCGTATGAACGCACCATTGTTAACCTATAATTAAAATATGAACAATCATGTTACAAATATATATTTAATATTATTAGTTCCAAGAGTAGGAATGATCAAATGTTTGAGGGATTTTTTGCTGTTGTTCGAGACGGAGTCTCGCTCTGTCGCCCAGGCTGGAGTGCAGTGGCACGATCTCAGTTCACTGCAAGCTCCGTCTCCCGGGTTCACGCCATTCTTCTGTCTCAGCCTCACGAGTAGCTGGGACTACAACGGACTACAGGCGCCCACCAACACGCCCGGGTAATTTTTTGTATTTTTAATGGAGACGGGGTTTCACCGTATTAGCCAGGATGGTCTCGATCTCCTGACCTCGTGATCCACCCGCCTCGGCCTCCCAAGGTGCTGGGATTACAGGCGTGAGCCACCGTGCCCGGCCTGTTTGAGAGATTTTTTATTTCGGTACAATCACTTTAACAATCAGATTAGCCAGAGATTTTTTTCCTTCACTTTATGAAAGCATTGTTTTTCTGTTTGTTTGTTTTCTTTTTTGCCTCCCTATTAAGTTCTTTGAAAGCTCAGAAGAACTCTTATCTTTTCCCTTCTGAAACTGTCTTGTTCTCCAGGGAGCAGTGGGAGGTTTGTTTTGCTGCAGAAGAATGAATGATTCTTGATACATTTCTGGCCTTGTCCTGTTAAAAACTGAGGAGGGGCCTCACATCCCAGCCCTGGGTAAGAGCACAAACACAAATGGGATTCTTCTCTGCAGCAGTTTCCACTCCCACCTTGATGAGTGTTCTGCGGTTGGCAGGACTATCCAAACCTGCCCCAGAGTCCCAGGAAGCTGAGAGGCCAAAGAAAGAGGCTGACAAATCCTGTTTCTTAGCCGGAATCACCTAATGGAGACTTATAAACAAAAGCTAATGGAGGTGGTGGATCCGCAGGCTGCCACTCCCCTACTCCGGGCTTATGTAGCATAGGGGAGGGGTGGTTCAGAAGGGCTATGCAGGAACTGAAGTATGATGACCTCAAGGTCGTTTGCCCTAAGGGCAGGATTTATGATAGTACCTACTCTTACACAAGGAACAAGAGACAAACAGGAAATCTTAGAAACCAACATGGTGAGCCGGGCGCGGTGGCTCATGCCTGTAATCCCAGCACTTTGGGAGGCCGAGGCGGGCAGATTGTCTGAGCTCAGGAGTTCGAGAACAGCCTGGCCAGCATGGTGAAACCCCATCTCTACTAAAAACACAAAAATTAGCTGGGCGTGGTGGCGGGCACCTGTAATCCCAGCTACTTGGGAAGCTGAGGCAGGAGAATCACTTGAACCCGGGAGGCAGAGGTTGCAGTGAGCTGAGATCATGCCACTGCATTCCAGCCTAGGCAACAGAGTGAGACTCCATCTCAAAAAAAAAAAAAAAAAAAAACTGAGGAGGGCTACTTCGTCTGATCACTGGAGTACTGACTTGGTCTACAGCTCCCCTAACTTAACCATTTCCATTTTCTTTGTTTGTTTGTTTGTTTTTTGAGACAGAGTCTCACTCTGTTGCCCAGGCTGGAGTGCCGTGGCATGATCTCAGCTCACTACAACTTCTGCCTCCCGGGTTCAAGCGATTGTCCTGCTTCTGCCTCCTGAGTAGCTGGTACTACAAGTGCACGCCACCATGCTCGGGTAATTTTTGCATTTTTAGTAGAGACGGGGTTTCACTATGTTGGCCAGGCTGGTCTCGAACTCCTGAACTTGTGGTCTGCTCACCTCTGCCTCCCAAAGTGCTGGGATTACAGGCATGAGCCACAGCTCCCAGCCCCATTTCCATTTTCTTAGCCTCACAATTGCCAAATTCAAATATTAGTAAACAAAATATCATGCGATATAATTTTAGAAGCAACAAATTGGTCCCTTTGTCCAGAAATATTTTCTCTGCTTATTTTCCTCAGTTATTAAATTCTTCAATAAGATTTTAATAATTCAGACTAAAGTTTTGACCATGCCTTCCAGTTCAGACAATGCCGTGGTCTGTACATTTGGGAATTTGGAATAGTGGTTAAAAGCACCTGCTTTAGTGGGGTGCGGTGGCTCACGCCTGTAATCCCAGCACTTTGGGAGGCCAAGGCAGGCGGATCACCTGAGGTCGGGAGTTCAAGACCAGCCAGGCCAACATAGTGAAACCTTGTCTCTACTAAGAATACAAAAATTAGCGGGGCGTGGTGGCGTGCGCCTGTAGTCTCAGTGAGAGGTGACAGCGTGCTGGCAGTCCTCACAGCCCTCGCTCGCTCTCGGCGCCTCCTCTGTCTGGGCTCCCACTTTGGTGGAACTTGAGGAGCCCTTCAGCCCACCGCTGCACTGTGGGAGCCCCTTTCTGGGCTGGCCAAGGCCGGAGCCGGTTCCCTCAGCTTGCAGGAAGGTGTGGAGGGAGAGGCGCAAGTGGGAACCGGGGCTGCGCCCAGCGCTTGCGGGCCAGCTGGAGTTCCGGGTGGGTGTGGGCTTGGCGGCGCAGCCGGCCGGCTTATGAGGGGCTTAGCACCCGGGTCAGCGGCTGCGGAGGGTGTACTGGGTCCCCTAGCAGTGCCAGCCCACCGGCGCTGCGCTCGATTTCTCACCGGGCCTTAGCTGCCTTCCCGCGGGGCAGGCCTCGGGACCTGCAGCCCGCCGTGCCTGAGCCTCCCACCCCCTCCATGGGCTCCCGTGCGGCCGGAGCCTCCTCGATGAGCACCGCCCCCTGCTCCACGGCGCCCAGTCCCATCGACCACCCAAGGGCTGAGGAGCGCGGGCGCGCGGCGCAGGACTGGCGGGCAGCTCCACCTGCAGCCCCGGTGCGGGATCCACGGGGTGAAGCCGCTGGGCTCCTGAGTCTGGTGGGGACGTGGAGAACCTTTATGTCTAGCCCAGGGATTGTAAACACACCAATCAGCACCCTATGTCTAGCTCAGGGTTTGTGAATGCACCAGTCGACACTCTGTATGTAGCTACTCTGGTGGGGCCTTGGAGAACCTGTGTGTCTTAACTCTGTATCCAGCTAATCTGGTGGGAAGGTGGAGAACCTTTGTATCTGGCTCAAGGATTGTAAACGCACCAATCAGCGCCCTGTCAAAACAGACCACTGGGCTCTACCAATCAGCAGGATGTGGGTGGGGCCAGATAAGAGACTAAAAGCAGGCTGCCCGAGCCAGCAGTGGCAACCCGCTCGGGTCAGTTTCCACACCGTGGAAACTTTGTTCTTTCACTCTTTGCAAAAAATCCTGCTGCTGCTCACTCTTTGGGTTCACACTGTCTGTATGAGCTGTAACACTCACTGCGAAGGTCTGCAGCTTCACTCCTGAGCCAGTGAGACCACAAACCCACCAGAAGGAAGAAATTCGGAACACATCTGAACATCAGAAGGAACAAATTCCGGTTACGCCGCCTTTAAGAACTGTAACACCCACCGCGAGGGTTGGCGGCTTCATTCTTGAAGTCAGTGAGACCAAGAACCCACCAATTCCGGACCCATCAGCTACTCGGGAGGCTGAGGCAGGAGAATCACTTGAACCCAGGAGGCGGAGGTTGCAGTGAGCCGAGATTGTGCCATTGCACTCCAGTCTAGGTGACAGAGCAAGACTCTGTCTCAAAAAAAAAAAAAAAAAAAAAAAAGCACCCACTTTAAACCAGAGAAGGTAAGTTTGAATTCCAGCTTTGCCATTTGTTAGATGCCGAACTGTGGGCATATCTAGTCAGCCTTTACTTCCTAACCTCAGCAATGGGAACAACGTAGTATCTCTCTCATAGAAATGTTGTCAAGAGTGCAAAAATGCAACAATGCACGTAAATGATTAACAGTGTCTGACTCAATAAATAGTGGCGGTTGTAATCCTGATAAATATTTCTTTCTGTCCTCTTATTTTGCTAAATTAAGGAAAGAAGCATTCAGAGCTCCCATCTCCATCCAGGACACATGACTGACCAGAGTGTTGGATGCTCTTCAGCCTTAAAGCTGAATCCACATGTTGTGTTTTCCAGCCTTGAGGGCAAGCTGAGGATGGAAAAGGTACCTGGATTAGTGACGGCCACAGAAAGCAAGAGTAGGATGCCGCCAGGCAGGTTCAAAAACAAAGACAGACGGCTGGGCATGGTGGCTCATGCCTGTAATCCCAACACTTTGGGAGGCCAAAGGTGGCGAGTCACCTGAGGTGAGGAGTTCGAGACCAACCTGGTCAACCTGGTGAAACCCTGTGTCTACTAAAAATTAAAAAACTAGCCAGGTGTGGTGGCGGATGCCTGTATTCCCAGCTACTCAGGAGGCTGAGGCAGGAGAATTGGTTGAACCCGGGAGGTGGAGGTTGCCAAGATCTCCCCCCTGCACTCCACCCTGGGTGACAGAGTGAGACTCCCTCTCAAAAAAAAAAAAAAAAAAAACCAAAAAAACAAAAACAAAAAACAAAGACAGATGTCACCAGCTTCGCAGTTTTGCTAAGGGTAAGCTCAGGCTTACCTCTATGAATATTTTCTTTCTTTCTTCTTCTTTCTTTCCCTTTCTTTCTTTCGTCTTTTCCTTTTTGAGACAGGGTATCGTGTTGTCACCCAGGCTGGAGTACAGTGGCACGATCTTGGCTCACTGCAACCTCTGCCTCCTGGGTTCAAGCAATTCTGCCTCAGCCTCCCGAGTACCTAGAATTACAGGTGCCCACCTCCACACCTGGCTAATTTTTGCATTTTTAGTAGATACAGGGTTTCACCACGTTGGCCAGGCTGGCCTCAAACTCCTGACCTCAAGTGATCCACCTCTTTCAGCCACCCAGAGTGCTGGGATTACAGCCATGAGCCACTGTTTATGACTGTTTTCTAATCATTTGGGCCAATCAAGGATCAGTTAAAGCATCATTAACCATAATTAAAGCAAAAATTCCATAGATATATGGCATTGAGTTTTTGCCTATAGAGATTGATTTTTTTCAGATTCATTCAATTACTATTTATGAAACAGGACTAGAGTCCATTTATTCACCCACTATGTGCCAGGCACGTTGCTATCTTCTGAGGATACCAGATGACGTGACATGAAGCCTTCCCTCACATAACTCACTTGGGAAGGTGGAACAGACATGTAAACAAATAATTACAATGTAATAGGAACAGCACAGCAAGAGGGAGAGAAGCAAAGGAGAGATTCTAACATTTCCTGAGCTCTTCCAGGAGACAAATGACTCTTTTTTTTAATTTTTTTGAGACGGAGTCTCACTCTGTCGCCAGGCTGGAGTGCAGTGGCACAATTTCGGCTGACTGCAACCTCCGCCTTCCCCAGGTTCAGGCGATTCTCCTGCCTCAGCCTCCTGAGTAGCTGGGACTACAGGCGCCCGCCACCATGCCCGGCTAAGTTTTGTATTTTTAGTAGAGGCGGGGTTTCATCATGTTGGCCAGGATGGTCTCGATCTCCTGGCCTCAAGTGATTCCCCCCGACTCGGCCTCCCAAAGTGCTGGGATTACAGGCGTGAGCCACCACCCGGCTGAAATCATAAAATATTTTAAACTGAATGACAATTAAAATATTACATATAAAGCTGGTGAGATGTAGGCTAAAGCATTATTTAGGGGAAGAATCTATAGCCTAAAGTACTATATTAAAATTTGACTGGCTTAAAAATAAAAAAAGAAAATGCTATATTAATAAAGAAGAAAGACTGAAAGTTAATGAGTTAAGCATCTATCTCAAAAGTTAGAACAGGAGTAGCAGAAAACACTAAATGAAAGTAGAAGGAAGAAAATAATATAGCTAATGGCCAGGTATGGTGGCTCATGTCTGTAATTCCAACACTTTGGGAGGCTGAGGTGGGAGGACAGCTTGAGCCCAGGAATTTGAGACTAGCTTTGGCAACATAGGGAAACCCTGTCCCTACCAAAAATAAAAAAATTAGCCAGGTGTGGCACCTGTGGTCCCTGCTACTCGAGAGGCTGAGAAAGGAGAATCGATTCAGCCCGGCGGGTTGAGGCTGAAATGAGCCATGATTGTGCCACAGCACTTCAGCCTGCATGACAGAGCGAGACTCTATCTCTATAATAATAACAATATACATAAAAGCATATATATATATTTTTTTTTTTTTTTTTGAGGTGGAGTCTCACTCTGTTGTTCAGGCTGGAGTGCAGTGGCCCTGTCTCCACTCACTGCAACCTCCACCTCCCAGTTTCAAGCGATTCTTCTGCCTCAGCCTCCCAAGTAGCTGGGATTACAGGTGCCCACCACCACACCTGGCTAATTTTTGTATTTTTAGTAGAGACAAGGTGTCTCCATGTTGGCCAGGCTGGTCTTGAACTCCTGACCTCAGGTGATCCACCCGCCTCGGCTTCCCAAAGTGCTGGGATTAGAGGCATGAGTCACCACGCCCAGTCAATAAAAGCATATATTGATGATTATATATATATATATAATTATATATAAAAACAGACAGAAAATAGAGAAAATCAGTAAAGCAAAAAATTGGTTCTTTTTTTTCTGAGATAGTGTTTCACTGTGTTACCTAGGCTGGAGTGAGGTGGCACAATCACAGCTCATGGCCGACTCAACATCCCAGGTTCCCAGGCTCAACTGATCTTCCCATCTTAGCCTGCCAAGAAGCTGGAGTTACAGGCTCGCATCACCATGTTAAGCTAATTTTTCTATTTTTTGTAGAGAAGAAGTCTCACTGTGTTGCCCAGGCTGGTCTCAAACTCCTGGGTTCAAGTGATCTTCCCACCTTGGCCTCCCAAAGTGCTGGGATTGCAGGTGTGAGCCACTGCACCTGGCCAAAAATTGGTTCTTTTAAAAAAAATACTAGGCTGGGTGCGGTGGCTCATGCTTGTAATCCCAACACTTTGGGAGCCTGAAGCGGGCAGATCACGAGGTCAAGAGTTCAAAACCAGCCTGACCAACATGGTAAAACCCTGTCTCTACTAAAAATACAAAAAAATTAGCTGCGCATGGTGGCACGCGCTGGTAATCCCAGCTACTCAGGAGGCTGAGGCAGGAGAATCGCTTGAACCCGGGAGTCGGAGGTTGCAGTGAGCCGAGATTGCGCCAGTGCACTCCAGCCTGAGCGACAGAGCAAGACTCCATCTCAAAAATAAATAAATAAATAAAAATACAAAAATTAGCCAGGTGTGGTGGCACACAGGTGTTGTGGCGTGCACTTGTAATCCCAGCTACTCAGGAGGGTGAGGCAGGAGAATCCCTTGAACCCAGGAAGCATAGTTTGCAGAGAGCTGAGATCGCACCACTGCACTCCAGCTTGGGTGACAGAGCAAGACTCCATCTCAAAAAAAAAAAAATTAAATTGATAAATCTCTGATGAAACTGCTCAAGAAAAAAGGAGAAGAGGAACCAAAAAAATATGTTTGGAATGAAAAAAGAGACATCACTACAGATCTTGCAGATATTCAAAAAAAAAAATAGGTATACACTTTAAATGACTTTATGTAAAGATTGAAAATTTTTACTAAAAACAAAATGGACACAAAAAGACACAGAAAACCTGAATTATTTTATAACTATAAAAGAGGTTAAATCCGTAATATAAAACCTTCCCCCAAAGAAAACTCTAAGACCAGATGGCTTTTTCTATAAATTTTATCAACGTGTAAGGAAGAACTAAAACCAATCTCAAACAAACTCTCCCAGAGAAGTGAAACAAAGTACATTTTATGAGGCTATCATAACTTTGTAGCAAAACCTGTCAAGGATATTACTTAAAAAAAATTTAATTACAGGCCAATATCATTCATAAACATAGATGCAGAAATGCCAAATAACATATTGCAAACCAGTTCTACAAATGTATAAGAAAACTAATGCAGCGTGACCAATTTACGTGTATGCTATGAATGTTAAATTGGTTTACTAAAAAAATGTAATTCAGCACATTAGCAAAATAAAGGAGAAAATTATGTTACCATCTCAATAGATGCATTAAAATATTTAATAAAATTGACCTCTGCAAATATACTGAATAGAGAAATATGGGCCAGGCTCAGTGGCTCACGCCTGTAATCCCAGCACTTTGGGAGGCCGAGGCAGGTGGATCACCTGAGGTCAGGAGCTCGAGACCAGCCTGGCCAACATGGCGAAACGCTGTCTCTACTAAAAATACCAAAATTAGCTGGGCATGGTCATGGGCGCCTGTAATCCCAGCTACTCGGGAAGCTGGGAATCGCTTGAAATATAAGAATTGCTTGAACCTGGGAGGCGGAGGTTGTAGTGAGCTGAGATCGTGCCACTGCACTCCAGCCTGGGTGACAGAGAGAAACTCAGTCTAAAAAAAGAAAAAAAGAACTATAACCAGGCACAGTGGCTCATGCCTGTAATCCCAGCACTTTGGGAGGCTGATGTCAGTGGATCACGTGAGGTCAGGAGTTTGAGACCAGCCTGGCTAACATGGTGAAACTCCATCTCTACTAATAATACAAAAATTAGCCTGACTTCGCCGGGCATGATGGCTCACGCCTGTAATCCCAGCACTTTGGGAGGCCGAGGCAGGTGGATCACGAGTTCAGGAAATAGAGACCATCCTGGCTAATATGGTCAAACCCTGTCTCTACTAAAAATACAAAAAATTAGCCGGGCGTGGTGGCGGGCGCCTGTAGTCCCAGCTACTCGGGAGGCTGAGGCAGGAGAATGGCGTGAACCCGAGAGGCGGAGCTTGCAGTGAGCTGAGATGGCGCCACTGCATTCCAGGCTGGGCGACAGAGTGCATCTCCGCCTCAAAAAAAAAAAGAAAAGAAAATTAGCCGGGCATGGTGAAGCATGCCTGTAATCCCAGCTACTCAGGATTTTGAGGCAGGAGGATCGCTTGAACACAGGAGGGAGAGGTTGCAGTGAGCCGAGATTACACCATTGCCTCCAGCCTGGGTGACAAGAGCGAAACTGTGTCTCCAATAATAGTAACTATAATAATAATAATGGCTGGGCATGGTGGCTCACGCCTGTAATCCCAGTACTTTGGGAGGCCAAGGTGGTTGGATCACCTGAGGCCAGGAGTTCGAGACTAGCCTGGCCAACATGGCAAAACCCCGTCTCTATGAAAAATACAAAAATTAGCTAGGCGTGGTGGTGGGCGTCAGTAATCTCAGCTACTGGGGAGGCCGAGGCAGGAAAATCGCCTGAACCTGGGGGGCAGAGGTTGCAGTGAGTCGAGATCACCCAATGCACTCCAGCCTGGGCGACAGAGTGCATCTCCGTCTCAAAAAAAAAAAAAAGAAAAAGAAAATAGATAGAAATGTGAACATTTTTCCCTTTGAAATTAGGAATGAGGAAAGATGCCCACTCTCACCACTTCTATTCAGCGTGGTTGTGGAGGTGGTGGTAGCCTGAAGGAACTGAAAAATGAGAAGGTGGAGTTTGAGAGGTTTTTTCTTTTTTTCTTTTTTTTGGTTGTTGTTGTTGTTTGGAGACAGGGTCTGGCTCAAAACTGGCTCGTGCAGTGGCGCGATCCCAACTCACAGCAACCTTCACCTCCTGGGTTCAAGCCAACCTCCTGCCTCAGCCTCCCAAGTAGCTGGGACTACGGGCTCATGCCACCATGCCCCGCTAATTTTTGTATTTTTTTTTTTTTTTTTTTGAGATGGGGTTTTGCTCTTGTTGCCCAGACTGGAGTGCAATGGCATGATGTCGGCTCGTTGCAACCTCCACCTCCCGAGTTCAAGCGATTCTCCTGTCTCAGACTCCCGAGTAGCTGGGATTACAGGCATGCTTGGCTAATTTTGTATTTTTAGTAGAGACAGGGTTTCTCCATGTCAGTCAGGCTGGTCTTGAACTCCCGACCTCAGGTGATCCGCCCTCCTCGGCCTCCCAAAGTGCTGGGATTACAGGTGTGAGCCACCAGTCTTGGCCAATTTATGTATTTTTTTGTAGAGACAGTGTCTCAACCTCCTGAGCTCAAGCATCCCAATGCCTCGACCTCCCAAAGTGCTAGGATCACAGGTGCAAGCCTCTGCACCCAGCCAAGAATGTATTTCTGATACGGATCTGTAGTCCTAGCAATGGCAAGGCTTAGGTGTACCATTGGAACAGGTGGAGCAAGGAGAAAGGAGGTGAAGACTCAGAGCTGGAGGTGAAGGAAGCTTGAGACTAGAGTTTTATGCCGATTATTCAAATGGGCACTGCAGTCACTGAGGATGATGGGGACGTGGGCTAGAATGAAAGACTGCCACGACCCATGCCAGAACCTTCAATAAATATGGCCGTGACCAGGACTTGGGTAGACGGCGTGGAGGAGAGGTGAGAAGTAATGAAACAGAAAGAAAAACTGTGCAAGAGTGTGTGGGATTTGGCCAAGCGTGGTGGCTCACGCCTGTAATCCCAGCACTTTGGGAGGCCGAGGCGGGCAGATCATGAGGTCAGGAGATCGAGACCATCCTGGCTAACACAGTGAAACCCCGTCTCTACTAAAAATACAAAAAAATTAGCCGGGCGTGGTGGCGGGCACCTGTAGTCCCAGCTACTTGGGAGGCTGAGGCAGGAGAATGGCGTGAACCCAGGAGGCAGAGCTTGCAGTGAGCCGAGATCGCGCCACTGCACTCCAGTCTGGGCGACAGAGCAAGACTCCGTCTCAAAAAAAAAAAAAGAGCATGTGGGGTTTTACACCAAGGTGACATGATGATTTGAAAAAGCTGGTGTGTAACAAGGAACTAACAGGATACTGATTTGAAGTCCTTGTGCAGGGAGTTTCTATCAACAAACCACCGCCATGCAGCACAGCTCTGGAGGGAGCCTTCCACTAAAAACAGGTTTTATATTTTTATTTACTTATTTTTTTTTTTGAGACAAAGTCTCACGTGATCTCGACTCACTGCAACCTCTGCCTCCCGGATTCAAGCGATTCTCCTGCCTCAGCCTCCCAAGTAGCTGGGATTAGAGGCGCCCGCCCCCATGCCCGGCTAACTTTTGTATTCTTAGTAGAGATGGGGGTCTCACCACGTGAGCCAGGCTGGTCTCAAACTCCTGGCCTCAGGTGATCCACCCGCCTCGGCCTCCCAAAGTACTGGGATTACAGGCGTGAGCCACCGCGCCCGGCCTAAAAAAAGGTTTTGCATCAGATCATGTGTGCAGAGCCCCTGGTATAGTGCTTGGCACATGGGAGGTGATGGGTTTTAGCCAGAAGACTCTGTGGAAAGAGAGGAGGGGTCCTGACGGGAAGCACGTCAAGGGAAGGGAAGCGACACCAGCAGGAGACAGAGAGAGGGTGCACATTCTGGGTGGTGGAGAGGACAGGGATGGGAAATGCAGTGGAATTACCTGGCCTAGCATCAGGTTCCCAGCAGGTTCCAACTCTTTTGGGATAATGTCTGGAAGAGTGACATTAGCATCAGATTCCATCTCTCTGGGGAGCTTATGAGGGCCTGGGTGTTTCTCAGTTCCCAGGTCCCATAGCGTCTGCTTCAACTACGTCTCTTATCTCCCTTTTCCCTGCTATGTCCATTACCATCATCCCATTCAGGCCTCCATGATTTCTTTCCTGGACTACAGTCTTCCCACTGTTTCTTCTGCCTCCATGTCATTTTGTAGGCACTACTTCAAAATGAATCTCTGTCATTTACCTGCTCCAAAATCTTCCATGACTCCCAACCAAAGGAAGTTTAATCTCCTCACTTAATGGTCAAGACCTTCGCCAGGTGCGGTGGCTCATGCCTGTAATCCCAGCACTTTGGGAGGCTGAGGCCAGGGGATCACTTCAGGTTAGGAGTTCGAGACCAGCCTGACCAACATGGTGAAACCCCGTCTCTACTAAAAATACAAAAAGTAGCTGGGTGTGGTGATGCGCACCTGTAATTCCAGGTACTCGGGAGGCTGAGGTGGGAGAATCACTTGAACCCGGGAGGCAGAGGTTGCGGTGAGCCAAGATCCAGGCACTGCACTCCAGCCTGGGCGACAGAGCAAGATTCCATCTAAAAAAAAAAAAATAAGGGAAAAATGTTCTACTTTCTTTCTTTTTAGACGGAGTTTTGCTCTTGGGATTACAGGCATGAGCCACCGTGCCCGGCCAATGTTCTACTTTCAAATGTCAACAAAGTAAGGTACCTAAAGAAAAGGGAAAGGATGGCAGGGCACACTGGCTCACGCCTGTAATCCCAGCACTCTGGGAGACCAAAGCAGGAGGATAGCTTGAGCTCAGGAGTTCAAGACCAACCTGGCCAACATGGCAAAACCCCATCTCTACCATAAATACAAAAAATTAGCCAGGCATGGTGGTGCACAACTATGGTCTCAGCTACATGGGAGGCTGAGGTGGGAGGATCGCTTGAGCCTGGGAGGCAGAGGTTGCAGTGAGCTGAGATCACACCACTGCACTCCAGCCTGGGCCACAGAGCGAGACTCCGTCCCAAAAAAAAAAAAAAAAGGCGGGGCATGGTTGCTCACGCCTGTAATCCCAGCACTCTGGGAGGCCGAGGCGGGCAGATCACAAGGTCAGGAGTTTGAGACCAGCCTGACCAACATGGTGAAACCCCGTCTCTACTAAAAATACAAAAATTAGCCAGAGGTGGTGACGCGCACCTGTAATCCCAGCTACTCAGAAGGCTGAGGCAGGAGAATCGCTTGAATCTGGGAGGCGGAGGTTGCGGTGAGCCCAGATCACGCCACTGCACTCCAGCCTGGGCGATAGAGTGAGACTCTGTCTCAAAAAAAAAAGGTGGGGGGGGAGATACATTTTATTTGTTTGTTTGTTTCCTCTGCAATATTTTTCATGAAGGGATAAATAATTTTTAATGAATGCCTGCCCTCTGAATGTTATGTGATTTCATTCTTGTACTAAACCTGAGAGGCTAGTTTCCTTATTCTCATTTTACAAATGAGTAAATCACGGCTTAAACTAATTCAGTCAGTCAGGGTCACCCCACTCAAAGCGGCAGAGATAAGGGTGCTGCCCGCTGTGTCTCACTCCAAACTCACTGCAGCCTCGAAAAGCATGAATACTACAGCCTCGAAAAGCATGAATGCTGCTTCTGCAGGGTAACTGTTTTATTCATTCTGTGGTTAAGTCAGAGATTATGTGACATTTACATGATTCGTCTAGTGGCTCTTTTCAAAACCTATCCCCCTCAGGTATGTATTTACCCTCTTGAAGACAAGTGAATTACAGCAGTTCTCACCCTGGACTGGTGGCCTAAATGAGAATTCCCGGCGGATTTAGTGGAAATCCATTTAGCCCTTTCAATTCTTTTTTTTTTTTTGAGATGGAATCTCACTCTGTCATCCAAAATGGAGTGCAATGGCGCGATCACGGCTCACTGCAACCTCCGCCTTCCCCGGGTTCAAGCGATTCTCCTGTCTCAGCCTCCTAAGTAGCTGGAACTAAAGGCTCACACCACCACGCCTGGCTAATTTTTGTATTTTTAGTAGTAGACAGGGTTTCATCATATTGGTCAGGCTGGTCTCGAACTCCTGACCTCAGGTGATCCACCCACCTTGGCCTCCGAAGTGCTGGGATTACAGGCATGAGCCACACCCCCAGCCTCCCTTTCCATTCTTTCACCGCCATTTTCTTTTTCATCAACTCAGTTGCATGTGATAGGGTCTTTTGAAAGAGATCTCTTTCTGAATCTTTGCAAAAGGAAGAATTTCAGCACAGCCAAAAAAGTATAAAGGGAAACCATTTTAATTTTTTAATTCATGCCATTATTAGTTCTCCTTGCATCAGCTTCTAATTATGCAGAAGTGCGTACATCTGACAGAGTGCCTGGCCCTGACTCATGACTTACTAATGAGATCATATTTTTCATTACAATTCCAAAATCCCATCAATCTTTTCTTAATTATTTTTAAGTGAATTTGCTGCCTTAGAAAGAAAAGGGCGTATGTGGCACTAGCAGGAACTAGGAAAGTTTCATGCGATTTCAATTTCAGAAAGTTTGTTGGCAAGATGGCCCGTATCTGCTGCCAATGTTAATAAATCAAATTTCGATGTCTAGGAACGGGTTTCATGCCATGGCCCCCCCTCCCATGTACCAGAACTCACTCTCATATTCAGTGGATCAGCCTTCAAGCATTGCCATGGCAGAGCTCCTTCCAGATGTCTCTGCCAACACATATTACAGTCATCGGTATAAGCAGGGGCAATATTCAAAATGTCTAACAACGGATACCAGCTTTAACTCTGAAACAAGGTCCTGGACCCCAGCTATGCCAGACTTAGCCCTTTAGCAGCTGGATTTTAAGAAGCTCCAGGAGATCCCTAGAGAGGGGCCAGAAGAGGCAGATTTTGGGGCGTGGGGAGAGATGGAGCAGCATCTATTTAACGACTGGTAGAGACGTAGTTAAATATTTTTGGATGCAGTATGGTACAGTGCTTACCGGTATCCACCGCACCTACAGCCGCCCAGGCAGCCTGACAAGGGCCATCTCCTAAACCTGGATTACAATCGCCTTTGTCGTCCCAGGGCGGTGGTAGTGGTGATGGTGTTTTTTCTTTCTTTCTTTTTTTCTTTTCTTTCCCTTTTTTTTTTTTTTTGAGATGGAATCTCTCTCTGTTGCCCAGACTAGAGTGCAGTGGCACAATCTTGGCTCACTGCAACCTCGGCCTCTCTGGGTTCAAGCGATTCTCCTGCCTCAGCCTTCTGAGTAGCTGGGATTACAGGCACCCGCCACCACACCTGACTAATTTTGTATTTTTAGTAGAGACAGGGGTTCATTCACCATGTTGGTCAGGCTGGTCTCAAACTCCTGACCTCAGGTGATCCTCCTGCCTCAGCCTCCCAAAGTGCTGGGATTACGGGCATGAGCCACCACATCCAGCTGATGGTGTTTTCTCAGTTGTGTCCAACATTCTAGATGAGTTTTCATCAACAGCATCACACCTAAAAACGTGCCCTCGGTCACCCTCCACCCTCTTTCCACAGTTTCAGCTGCAATACAAATCAGTCACCTGCTCCTAGTCCTCAGGCGATGTACCCTGCAAATATTCACGAGTACGTAAATGAGAGGGAAGCCAACGTGGTCACGAATTTTGTCTTCCTTGTTCTGGGTGATCTTTGTTGTCCATGTTAGACTTTTTCATTTTCTTCCTGAAATCCAGGACCTCAAAAATCAAACACCAGTTTTTTTTGTTTTTGTTTTTGTTTTGAGATGGAGTCTTGCTCTGTTGCCAGGTTGGAGTGCAGTGGCGCGATCTCGGCTCACTGCAACCTCTGCCTCCCAGGTTCAAGTGATTCTCCTGCCTCAGCCTCCCGAGTAGCTGGGACTACAGGTGTATGCCACCACGCCCAGCTAATTTTTTTTTTTTTTGTATTTTTAGTAGAGAAATGGTTTCACCATGTTGGCCAGGATGGTCTCAATCTCTTGACCTCATGATCCACCCACCTCAGCCTCCCACGGTGCTGGGATTACAGGCGTGAGCCACCACACCCTACCCCGAAACCCTAGTTTTTTTTTATTACAAACTTAAAGAGCTTAATTTAAAATGTTTAAAAAATTGAAAGCAGGTGTTTCATGTCAACATCACCATTTGTAGCTCTTGGAAGTTCTGGTAGCCCCTTGTAAACAAGAGGGAAGGAGGAAGTCAAATCTCTGAGTTGAAAGGGGCCTGTATCCGTCTTGCCTTCCAGGCTCCCCTGGCAGCCAGGGGAGGGTAGTAACACCTCGCCGCTGGTCGATCCCACGCACAGACAGAAAGTCTCCAAGTCCCTGATGGTGGCACCTCTACTTTCATCTACTCCAATATCAGCCACTTCTCTTTATTTTATTATTCATTATTGTTGGTTTTTAAAATATTTTAAATTTAATTTAATTTAATTTTTTTATTTGTTGAGGTGGTGTATCACTCTGTTGCCTAGGCTGGAGTGCAGTGGCCCAATCTCGGCTCCTTGCAACCTCTGCCTCCTGGGTTCAAGCAATTCTTCTGCCTCAGCCTCCTGAGTAGCTGGGGCTACAGGTGCTCACCACCACACCCAGCTAATTTTTGTATTTTTTGTTTGGTAGAGATGGGGTTTCACCATGTTGGTCAGGCTGATCTCTAACTCCTGGCTTCAAATATCTGCCTGCCTCAGTCTCCCAAAGTGCTGGGATTACAGGTGTGGGCCACTGTACCCAGCTATTGTTGTTGTGCTTTTTTTTTTCTTTGAGATGAACTCCCACTCTGTCACCCAGGCTGGAGTGCAGTGGCATGATCTCAGCTCACAGCAACCTCTGCCTCCCAGGTTCAAGTGATTCTCCTGCCTCAGCTTCCTAAGTAGCTGGGACTACAGTCACGTATCACCACGCCTGGCTAATTTTTGTTTTTTGCTTTTTTGAGATGGATTTTCACTCTTGTCACCTAGGCTGGAGTGCAATGGTGCAATCTTGGCTCACTGCAACCCCCGCCTCCCCGGTTCAAGCGATTCTCCTACCTCAGCCTCCCAAGTAGCTGGGATTACAGGCATACAACACCACGCCCCGCTAATTTTTTTTGTATTTTTAGTAGAGACGAGATTTCACCATGTCGGTCAGGCTGGTCTCGAACTCCTGACTTCAGGTGATCCATCCGCCTCAGCCTCCCAAAGTGCTGGGATTATTAGGCATGAACCACCGCGTCCGGTCTAATTTTTGTATTTTTTAGTAGAAACGGGGTTTTACCATGTTGGCCAGGCTGGTCTCGAACTCCTGACCTCAGGTGATCTGTCTGCCTCGGTCTCCCAAAGTGCTGGCATTACAGGCATGAGCCACCGCGCCCAGCCTATTGTTTTTTAATAGAGACAGGGGTCTCACTGTGTTGCCCAAACTGGTCTCAAACTCCTAGGCTCAAGCAATCCTCAGGCTGTGGCCTCCCAAAGTGTTGGGATTACAGATGTGAGCCACCATGCCCAGCCTCAACCCCTTCCCTTTAATTGGAGCTGTTTTCTTTTTTAAACGTGTTATTCTTTTTTTTTATTTTATTTTATTTTTGAGACTGAGTCTCGCTCTGTCGCCCAGGCTGGAGTGCAGTGGCGCAATCTCGGCTCACTGCAAGCTCCGCCTCCCGGGTTCACGCCATTCTCCTGCCTCAGGCTACCCAGTAGCTGGGACTACAGGCTCTCGCCACCACGCCCGGCTAATTTTTTGTATTTTTAGTAGAGACAGGGTTTCACCGTGTTAGCCAGGATGGTCTGGATCTCCTGACCTCGTGTTCCGCCCGCCTCGGCCTCCCAAAGTGCTGGGGTTACAGGCGTGAGCCACCGCGCCCGGCCGTGTCAGTCTTATTTATTACACTTCATGCTAAGCTGCAGTTGAGAAATGATGGCCTCACCCACTCACCACTCAGTACTCAGTTCTGTTTGTGGAAATGTCCTAGGCTGGCAGGGCCAGGACCCCACAGGGAAGCTGGCTATCAGGAGACAAGCCCTGCCTCTGTCCCCTGCCATGAAAGCAAAGCGAGCCCAGGCTCTGTGTGTAGGAATGTGACCGATCACCTCCTGGTAGCTTCATGGCAGGGCCAGGGAGCCACACTTGCTCTCAGACTCCATGCGCCAGGCCCAGGTTCCGGAGCTTTCCTCCCCGGTCCATGTACTGTAATAACTAAGTCAACTGGAAAGAAAATACTGCAGAAAAGAGTAAGGAAAAACAGGGCATGGGGGCAGCTGGGGCCAGGAAAGAGAGCACACAGCGAGGTATAAAGGACCATTGTGCTGGGCGCAGGACTTGGCACTCCGGGACTCGAAGGAGCCGGCAATGATCCGCTTTCTCTGGAGGGAGATCCTTGGATCCCAGCTGAATAAAGAACAACTTGAAACGTGGCGAGGGAGCCTGGGGGGGACACGGCAGGGGGAGGAGCGGGCAGAGCCAAGGGGAAAGTGGTGTTAAAAACAGGGGCTGCAGCAGGATCGGAGGGAATCAAAGGCGAAGACCAAGCTCTCCTATGTTTTTACTGCTCTCCGTCACCCCAAAATAACGAAGGTCCAATCAGAAGCTCACTTTAACAGCTGTCCACTAGGAAGACCAACTTGTGGGTCTGAGGTGGGAGGATCGCTCGAACCTGGGAGGTCGAGGCTGCAGTGAGCTGAGATCACGGCACTGCACTCCAGCCTGGGTGACGAAGTGAGACCCTGTCTCAACAAACAAACAAACAAACAAAAAACAGGAAGAGCAATCTTTCAAATGGCTAATCAATACATATTAGAAGAATGTTCTTGCAGGAAGGAGAAGAATGGAGAAGAAACTGAGAATCCATTCCAGTGATGACGAAAATTATAAGGCCATGATTTTGAGGCTTTGCTGCTCCCCATGTGACACTGGAAGGAAAGGGAGAAGATGACAGAAGAAAAGGGGGAAATGTAACCTCTGCAGGGGGTGTTGTTTTAATTTTATTATTATTATACTTTAAGTTTTAGGGTACATGTGCACAATGTGCAGGTTTGTTACATATGTATACATGTGCCATGTTGGTGTGCTGCACCCATTAACTCGTCATTTAGCATTAGGTATATCTCCTAATGCTATCCCTCTCCCCTCCCCCGCAAACTGAAATTTATTAAGGAAGACAAGACAAGCTGAGAGTCAAGGGTCCAGGGACGCTTTTGAGCCGGAGCTGTCCTCATTGCAACCGTGGCCCTCCTCTGTCCTCAGTCCCTTCCTCGGGGAGAAGCCCGTGGGGTGCCTTTAGCCTCTTGAGACCTTCCAGTGGAAAACGGAGTTCATCCTAGACCGATGGTTTGTCCCGAGAACAAACTGGGGGTGGGGGAGACTGGGACGAGAAAAAAAAAAAGCGTTAAGAGGAGGAGAGAGCTGGCACTGCTAAATGGAGAAAGGTTCCAGCAGCTTAATCCATCTTGAACAGAATCATTAATCAGGTGCAAAACTCCTCAAAGGAGCAAAACTAGGACCAGCTCCTTCCGAGGGCAGCCTGCCAATCTCCCCCACTTGCATTTTCATTTCCAAATCCTTGGTGTCTTTGTATCAGGGCTGATCCCAGCCAGCCTCGTCAGGAGCCACCTGTTCATGTCTCCTCCTATCTCCCTGACCTCGGAAGTGAGAGGAGAAATGACGGGAAACCCAGACAGCTGCTGCGATCCCCTCCCCCCTCCCCCACAAAACAAGCAGCCCAATTCTAGGATCTGGGCCAGACCCTGGCAGATGAGTTCCTCTCTGTGAGAAATGCTTTTGTAGGCACGTTAACTCTTTCATTCAGCACATCACTCTCTTGCTTAATAGAAGGTAAAGTCGGCCGGGTGCAGTGGCTCACGCCTGTAATCCCAGCACTTTGGGAGGCTGAGGCAGGCAGATCATGAGATTAGGAGATCGAGACCATCCTAACACAGTGAAACTCCATCTCTGCTAAAATACAAAATATTAGCCAGGCGTGGTGGCACGCACCTGTAGTCCCAGCTACTCGGAATGCTGAGGCAGGAGAATCACTTGAACCCAGGAGGCAGAGGTTGCAGTGAGCCGAGATCATGCCATTGCACTCCAGCCTGGGCAACAAGAGCAAAACTCCATCTCAAAAAAAAAAAAAAAAGAAGGTAAAGTCAGGCCCAGGAGGGCCCTCACAGGTCAGGCCTCGCCTACCCTTATTGTTCCAGCCCAGAGAATTCCAGTGACCTGCCCAAGGTCACAACACGGATTACAAGCTGAGTCATGCAGCCAGTCTCCAAGATATCCTCCAGTGATTCCTGCCTCTGTGTCCACACCCTTGGAGTCCCTGCCACAGAGACTAGAATCTCTGAAATCAACAGGACACTGCAAAAGGGACCATGTGGGACTTCCAAGGCCGGGTCATTAAAGACTCTGCAGCCCCCAGCTTGCTCTCTCTTCATTCTTGGGGGGAGCCAGCTGCCACGTCACAAGGACACTCAGACTTGTGGCAAGGCCCACATGGTGGAAACTGAGGCCTACCACCAACAGCCAGCACCAAGCCGTCCACGTGAGTGTGCCACCTTGGAAGCCGACCCTCCAGCCCAAGACGAGCCTTCAGATGAGTGCAGCCCTGGTCCACATCTTGAGAGATCTTGAGCCAGAACCACCCAGCTAAGGCTCTCCTGAATTCCTGGCCACTGAAACTGTGTGAGTTAATAAGAGTTTATTGCAGTGTCAAAAAGAAATAGAGCCAGGCACTTATTAAAGACAGCAGGATGGACTTTATTGAGACTACTCCAGTAAGGGAGAGAGACATCAGTGCATGCTGAGCTCAACTCTGAGCCATGCAGAGGTGACTGGGCATTTTTTTTTTTTTTGAAACAGAGTCTCCCTCTGTTGCCCAGGCTGGAGGGCAGTGGCAGGATCTTGGCTCACTGCAACCTCCCCCTCCCGGGTTCAAGCGATTCTCCTGCCTCAGCCTCCTGAGTAGCTGGGATTACAGGCACGTGCCACTACACCCAGTTAATTTTCGTATTTTTAGTAGAGACAGGGTTTCACCATGTTGGCCAGGCCAGGCTGGTCTCAAACTCCTGACCTTGTGATCCACCCACCTTGGCCTCCCAAAGTGCTGGGATTACAGGTGGGAGCCATCACGCCCAGCAGTGACTGGGCATTTTTAAGGGGAGGATGAGGGAGGATGGAGGAGGAATAAGCAGGAGGAGCTTGGGTGGGGTCGGGTGGAGTCACGTAAGCAGAAACTTACTAAGAGTGGGTGGGGGGCCCTTTTCAGAGAATTGTTAGACAAGGCAGTCATTGGGTCCATGCAAATCTCAAACAGTAAATTCTGCTGGCAGCCCTGAGCTTTTCCAGGCAGGAACTCAAGAGGAGCTGGGTCATGCTAGGGACATGACCTCGAGCTGTTAGAAACCAAGCTAGTGTGTTTTCAAGTCTCCTAGTGTGAGGGTGAACAGAATTGTTTCTGTTGAGATTTTGCGGTTTTCACAGGCAAGGTTAAAGCCTCTTTGAGAAGAAGACTCAGGGGAGCCTGACTCAAGTTTGGTCAAAGAGAAGGTCTTTTTCAATAGTTCTAAGTCACTGTGTTGGGGAGTTTGTTTTGCAGCGATAGATAACAGCTCACAGTAAATGTATAGAAGCAGATTCTCAGAGTCCGTGTCTCATGCTTTTTTTTTTTTTTTTTTTTTTTTTGACAGAGTCTCACTCTGTTGCCCAGGCTGGAGTGCAGTGGCTTGATCTCAGCTCGCTCACTACAGCCTCCGCCTCCTGAGTTCAAGGGATTCTCCTGCCTCAGCCTCCTGAGTATCTGGGATTACAGGTGCATGCCACCATGCCCCGACTAGTTTTTGTAATTTTAGTAGAATCGGGGTGTCACCATGTTGGCCAGGCTTGTCTTAAACTCCTGGCCTCAAGCAATCTGCCCACCTTGGCCTCCCAAAGTGCTGGGATTACAAGTGTGAGCCACCATGCCTGGCCCTCCATGTCTTATGCTTTTCCCACCATACTACTCGGCCCTCCCTTAGAAGACAAGGCTGCCAGACATCTCATGCACAATAACAGAGCTTCAAGGCCGGGCATGGTGGCTCACACCTGTAATCACTTTTGGAGGCTGAGGCGGGCAGATCACCTGAGGCCGGGAGTTCAAGACCAGCCTAACTGATATGGTGAAACCCCTTCTCTACTAAAAATACAAAATTAGCTGGGCATGGTGGTGCATGCCTGTAATCCCAGCTACTTGGGAGGCTAAGGCAGGAGAATCACTTAAACCTGGGAGGTGGAGGTTGCAATGAGCCAAGATCATGCCATTGCACTCCAGCCTGGGAAACAAGAGTGAATCTCTGTCTCAGAAAACAAAACAAAACAGCTGGGTGCAGTGGCTCATGCCTGTAATCCCAGCACTTTGGGAGGCCGAGGGTGGATCACTTGAGGTCAGGAGATTGAGACCATCCTGGCTAACATGGTGAAACCCCATCTCTACTAAAAATACAAAAAATTAGCCGGGCGTGATGGCAAGTGCTTGTAGTCCCAGCTACTCAGGAGGCTGAGGCAGGAGAATGGCATGAACCCGGGAGGCGGAGCTTGCAGTGAGCCAAGATCGCGCCACTGCACTCCAGCTTGGGAGACAGAGTGAGACTCCATCCCAGAAAAAAACAAAAAACAATAACAGAGCTTCAGCCAACATGCAGGACAGCTGGAGACCCTCACCTGTCCACATACTCATTCCTATGGACACTCAAGGCTGAGCACACAGCAGGTAGATTTCTTGACTTAACAGTCATGAGGGTTCCTTCCTCACCACAAATACCTCTGCAGGAGAAATCCCTGCAACTTGGCACGTCTTGCTGTAAATGGAAGCAGTGGCATGTCCGTGTCAGGCATGAAAGCCGTTCATAAAACCACCTTGCTGAGCACTTTCTGTCTGTCAGGCAGGTCTGAAGACACAGAAATGAACGTGCTCATCTCTGCCCTCCAGGAGCACAGTTCTAGAAACCCAGTGAAAAATCTCTTATTTAGATTAGGGTTTAGGTAGGAGCTAGGGTTTGTCAAATGCAACATGAGTTCCTTTACCTACTTTTGAAGCCATTTCATCCCAGCTAAGCTGAGGGCCCTCATGATTGCACCGATAGTCAGAAATGTTTATTTAATGCATTTAACTGTGGGGCAAAGCAGAGGCCAACAGCATCATAATCATCGACAATTGAGCCAAAGCCTTCATCAATGAGATGTTCACAACTTGAGCACCCTAATGACTTTATCTTTTTAATCTTAGGGTGTAGAGAGGTGTGCCCCTACGATTAAAGACCAACCAGACAACTAATCAGTACCATTGGGATAGTAGTCAACACCAAGGGTGGCCATTTTTCTCAAAATTATATCCTATAGATCTTTCTATAGATATTTGTTGCTATAAATGTTTTAAAACTCATAAACATTCTTAACCACCCATATTCAAAGCAGAGAGACAGTGGTGGTGACCAGGTGCCTTGAGAAAGTAGAGCCTTCAACAGGACTTGGTTCAAGTACCACTTTCTCCTAGAAGTTCCTAAAAAAGGAAAATGTGAAAATACAGGAAAGTTCTGTGAATTTTGGTCCAAAGCCCTGGCAGGAGAAACCAAGGAACTAATATTCTAGCTGCTTCTAATTTCAACTTTTCTGCACCTTTATTTTAGGTGCAAATTACCCGAGTGATTGGCAATTTTTCTCATAAGCCATAGAGAATATGCCAGAAGTGGAAGAATTAAACTTCAAAGACAAAAGATTTAATTAATTTTTTAAGCTCTCCAAATGAGCTCTTAAAAATGAAATGGCTCAAAAATACATTTAAATCAAAGTTAGATTTCAAAAGTAATTGAGCTCTGGAAAGTAGTGGAGGGCACTTTTATATTGCAGACTCACTGTTTGGAGTTGAGCTCAGCTGCACCATCCAAAGGCTATACATTTGTCAATTTAGTCATTCTGGTCTCGCAAAAATAACAATGTCCAATTTCTTTGTGAAAAAAGTATACACAAACACATATTTATGCATTGCGAAAAATTGTATGTGTTAAAATCACAGTTTCTCGTGTGTCAAATGGGACACTAAAGGTGCCTACTGCATAGAATTGTTGTGAAGAGTAAAAACATGCCTGGCATATGATAAATATTCATAAATATTAGCAATAATAATATAACAAAGGCATGTCAATCTTGTCTCTTAAATACCTCATTAATCCAGCAGTTCTTAAAGTTTGACCTGGGTTCCTTGAATGGGGGAAAAGGGGTGCTGAGGTCCCTTCAGGAAGTCCAAAAGATCAAAGCTATTATCACATGAATACTAAGGAGTTATTTGTCTTTTCCATTCTCATTCTCTCACAAACGTATAGCAGATCTTCCCAGAAGCTGCATGGCTTATGGTATAGCAACAGATACAAGAATCCAACAGCTACTAATAAGTCAGACATTAAAGACATGCAGAAATGTATAACAATGTCATTCATCTCACTACACTTTTTTTTCTCTTGGCAAACACGGGTTTTTTGTTTGTTTGGTTTTGGTTTTTTTGTTTGTTTGTTTTTGAGATGGAGTTTTGCTCTTATCACCCAGGCTGGAGTACAATGGTGCAATCTTGGCTCACTGCAACCTCTACCTCCCGGGTTCAAGCAATTCTCCTGCTTTAGCCTCCTGAGTGGCTGGGATTACAGGCACCTGCCACCACGCCCAGCTAATTTTTTTTTTTTTTTTTTTTTTGAGATGGAGTCTCACTCTGTCGCCCAGGCTGGAGTGCAGTGGTGCGATCTTGGCTCACTTCAAGCTCCGCCTCCTGGGTTCCTGCCATTCTCCTACCTCAGCCTCCCGAGTAGCTGGGACTACAGGCGCCCGCCACCATGCCTGGCTAGTTTTTTTGTATTTTTTTAGTAGAGATGGGGTTTCAATGTGTTAGCCAGGATGGTCTCGATCTCCTGACTTCATGATCTGCCCACTTCAGCCTCCCAAAGTGCTGGGATTACATGCGTGAGCCACTGTGCCCAGGCTTTGCCCAGCTAATTTTTGTATTTTTAGTAGAGACAGGGTTTCACTGTGTTAGCCAGGATGGTCTCGATCTCCTGACCTCGTGATCTGCCCGCCTCAGTCTCCCAAAGTGCTGGGATTACAGGCGTGAGCCACCGAGCCTGGCCAATTTTTTTTTTTTTTTTTTTGAGACAGAATTTCACTCCTGTTGCCCAGGCTGGAGTGCAATGGTGCAATCTCGGCTCACTGCAAACTCCGCCTCCTGGGTTCAAGCAATTCTCCTGCCTCAGCCTCCAGAGTAGCTGGGATTACAGGCATGCATGTGCCACCATGCCTGGCTAATTTTGTATTTTTAGTAGAGACAGGGTTGCCTCATGTTGGTCAGGCTGGTCTCGAACTCCCAACCTCAGGTGATCCAACCGCCTCAGCCTCCCAACATGCTGGGATTACAGGCGTAAGCCACCGCACCAGGCCATCCTCTAATTTTTAAGAGTAAAAAGAGGTCCTGAGATAAAAAAGGTTGACAATGGCTGCTTGAGTTCAGCCTCTTCTTGCTGTCTATACCACAGTCAACCTACAACCCGTCATCACTCACACCCTCCCAGAGGGACTCCCGCCAGGCACCCACTTGACCCATTGTCACTCATTCCTACTGCCCCAACGTCTTCAGCATCCACCCTGTGCCAGTCACTGTCCCAGGCAAAGGGGATGCAAGGCAGTTATGGTTCTTTCCCTCCTGGAGCTTATATGAGGGAGATTATTAGAAAGAAACCCAAATAATCAAATCCATATAATGATTGCAGGTTGTACTCAGCATAAGCAAGGAAAGAATCTCCGGCTAAGATGGAGAATGAAAGGGGACCTCATGAGGAGAGTGTGGGTGGGCAGGCTCCCGGGAGGCTCTGCCGTTCATACCTCAGGCAGCTCCTTCAGTGGATCGGGGAAGAGCCTTCCCAGGTGGCGGACCAGCCCGGGTGAAATAGCCCAGGTGGAGGCGGCTCCAGGGCTGAGCCTGGGGCCAAGCAGGAGCCGAGCCGTGCAGCACCCTGGCAGTGCTCCTACAGTCTCATCCCAAATTCCAGCCAGCCTTTCATTGCCCATCACATTGACTGACCCATTTCCCTGGCTTCCTATTGTTCTTGGAATAAAGAATAAAATCCTTAACAAGAGCTGTGTATTCATGTTGCCCAGGCTGGTCTCGAACCCTTGAGCCCACCCACCTCGGGCTCCCAAAGTGCTAGGACTACAGGTGTGAGCCACCACACTCGGCCCCTGATCTGAATTATAATCTGCTTAAAGGAACATGAGAGTGGCTTAAACTTCTTTGTATCCCCTGTTCAACATGATGCAAGCATTTAATGTTTTATTCATTCTATAAATAGTTTACAGAGCACATATTAGGTGCCAGGCAGAGTGTCAGACTGTGGTGATACAAAGATGAATACATTGTTCTTGTTTGGTGGGACACACAATCCAATTGATTAAATGCTTTTGAGAGGTGAAGCCGGCTGGGCCTGTGGGTCAGATGGGGACTTGGAGAACTTTTCTGTCTAGCTAAAGGATTGTAAATGCACCAATCAGCACTCAGTGTCTAGCTAAAGTTTGTAAACGCACCAATCAGCACTCTGTCAAAACGGACCAATCAGCACTCTGTAAAATGGACCAATCAGCAGGATGTGGGTGGGGCCAAATAAGGGAATAAAAGCAGGCTACCTGAGCCAGCAGCGGCAACCCGCTAGGGTTCTGTTCTGCGTTGTGGTAGTTTTGTTCTCTTGGTCTTTGGGTCTGCACTACCTTTATGAGCTGTAGCATCCACCGCTAAGGTCTGCAGCTTCGTTCCTGTAAGCTATCGAGACCAGGAGCCCACCGGGAGGAAGGAACAATTCCGAACTCGTTGCCTCTATGGGCTGTAACACCCACCGCGAAGGTCTGCAGCTTCACTTCTGAAGCCGGCGAGACCACGAGCCCACCGGGAGAAACGAACAACTCCCAACGTGCCGCCTTTAAGAACTGTAACACTCAGGTCCGCGCCTTCATTCTTGAAGTCAGCGAGACCAAGAACCCACCAATTCCGGACACACTTTCAAGACTGCCTTTATTGTAAAAGTATCTCTAAAAGTAGTAAAATACATATGTACTCAGCAGGAAGTGAGAAAGGATGAAGAAAACAGTGAGCAGGGGAGTCACAAGCTTGAGTATTCTGGTGTACAATTGGAAGCTGTTGAAAATGCCAATTCCTGGGCCCACCAGCTGACCCCGATTCAGTGGAACCAGGGTTGGGCCCAGGAATCTGCATTGAAGGTGCTTCCACAGCATTCTAGGTGCTTCTGACGCAGGCGGTCTCTGGGTCACACTTAGGATGCACCGAGAATTTAAGGTCAGGTCCTCGTGGTGGGGTGAGTGACCCAACCTGATAAGCCATCCTCAGCGTCGCCTCCGTAGACACGGCGCCCTTGGAGCAGAGTCTGAGGTGGGAATTCAGCTGCCCGCGGGTTGATGGGGAGTGCTCTTCTGGAAGGACCTGCAAGGCAAAGTAGGGAAGCAAAGCTTGGAAGGAGATGCAGCTGACCGGGGAGGATTTCCGGAAGTCTGGTCTTAGCCTGTCCCACGCAGCAGGTGTCCCTGGCAGATTCACCCCTCCGGAGATACAGGGGCCCCTTCTGTGCCTCTGCATCAGTCATGGGGGCAGGGGCAGGACAGCAAAAACCTGGAGCAAACTGGCTCCTGCCAGCCAAGGATGACATCCCAGAGAAGAGGCAGCCTTGATCGCTGGCGGCTGGGGTTGGAGTGCTGGCCCAGAAAAGGGAATGTGGGTGAGGCCTCACAGCTTCTAGCTCACTAACTGAGCAAATACCACCGCCAGCCCCGGAAATAAGACTGGAAAATTCTGTAAAAGATGTAAACAAAGAAGGGGACCACTTACATCCAAAAGGATCTAAACACTTCGCCAGCCATGAGCAAGATCCAAACTCCAACGTCCTGTGAATATAGCAGATCCCAGTTGATTTGCAGCCCTGATTTCTTTAACCCTGCCAGCACTTTCGGTCTCAGGCTGCAACAGGACTCTATTTCATGCATAGAAATCTTGTCTACCAGAGGCAGAGACCTCAGATTGACATGCCCACGCCATCTCGTGCAGGCCAACCGCTAACCAAAGTGACTGCATTTTCTATCAGCTTCCATCACTCATTGCTGCTACTGTATTGCTACTTGCTACTTCCAAAGCCCCCGCGCCAGTTCCAGACTTCTGGGAAACAAATGTCAAGGTGGAATTAGAGGGAGCATACGTCGGCAGGGAAAGTCTTCTGACTGAGACACGGGTCTGACACCTGTGGAGGGTGGGAGGGAAGGAGGGATTGGGCAGGAAGCACCCCAGTGGGGCTCTACAGGTCTCTTCTGCGTGTGTTACCTCGTCTGGTCCTCACTGCAACCCAATGACATAGGAGTCATCTACCTGTAATAAAGCTGGGAAAACAGGCTCTGGGAAAGGTGAAGGAGGCTACCCCAGACGGCATAACGAAGCTGGAGCTGACATGTGATCTAAAACCCAAACCCTCTGCTTAGTATTTCTTTTCCTTTTTTTTTTTTTTTTTTTTTATTTTGTTTGTTTGTTTTGAGACAGAGCCTTGCTCTGTAGCCCAAGCTGGAGTGCAGTGGCGGAATCTCGGCTCACTGCAACCTCCGCCTCCCAGGTTCAAGCAATTCTCCTGCCTCAGCCTCCTGAGTAGCTGGGATTACAGGCGCCCACCACCACGCCTGGATAATTTTTGTAGTTCTAGTAAAGACAGGGTTTCACCATGTTGGCCAGGCTGATGTCAAACTCCTGACCTCAGGTGATCTGCTTGACTCGGCCTCCCAAAGTGCTGGGTTTACAGGCGTTAGCCACTGTACCTGGCCAGTATTTGTTTCTTTACTGGCAATTAGCTCTATCTGTCTATCTATCATCTATTTCTTTCTGTGTTCATCTGTGGATATCATTATCATATTACCATAAATTATAAATACCTTGAGTTTCAGCTGGGTGTGATGGCTCACGCCTGTAATCCCAGCACTTTGGGAGGCCGAGGCGAGCAGATTGCCTAAGCTCAGGAGTTTGAGACCAGCCTGGGCAACATGGCGAAACCCTCTCTCTACTAAAAATACAAAAAAAAGAAAAAATCCGGCTGTGGTGGTGGGCGCCTGTAATCCTAACTACGCGGGAGGCTGAGGCACGAGAATAGTTTGAACCCGGGAGGCAGAGGTTGCAGTAAGCCAAGATCGTGCCACTGCACTCCAGCCTGGGTGACAGAGCAAGACTCCATCTCAAAAAAAAAAAAAAATTCCTTGAGTTTGGAAGCTGACTTCTACTTCCTTTTTATTTTATTTTTGATTGCTCATCATTCAACTTCACCTACTTCCTTTTTATCTACAAAAAGTGATAGGTACAGTCCTCCGCTACAGAGCTAGTTCAACAAAACCACATACGAGAAAGCCTAAGGGTTGTTCCTGCACCTGCTGCTGCTGCTGATTAATTACTAAGTCATAGCTTTCCTGTCTAGTTTCCCCTCCACTTTTTTTTTTTTTGACACAGAGTTTTGCTCTCGTTGCCCAGGCTGGAGTGCAATGGCACAATCTCAGCTCACTGCAACCTCCACTTCCTGGGTTTAAGCGATTCTCCCTCCTCAGCTTCCTGAGTAGCTGAAATTACAGGCATGTGCCACCACGTCTGGCTAAATTTTTGTATTTAGTAGAGATGGGGTTTCACCATGTTGGCCAGGCTGGTCTCAAACTCCTGACCTCAGATGATCCACCTGCCTTAGCCTCCCAAAGTGCTGGGATTACGGGTGTGAGCCACCACGCCCGGGCTAGTTTCCCCTCCACTTCTTTTTTTTTTTTTCTTTTTCTTTTTTTTTTTGAGACAGAGTCTCACTCTGTCGCCCAGGCTGGAGTGCAGTGGCGCGATGTCAGCTCACTGCAAGCTCCGCCTCCCGGGTTTCACGCCATTCTCCTGCCTCAGCCTCCTGAGTAGCTGGGGCTACAGGCGCCCGCCACCACGCCCAGCTAATTTTTTGTATTTTTAGTAGAGCCAGGCTTTGACCATGTTAGCCAGGATGGTCTCGATCTCCTGACGTCGTGATCCACCTGCCTCGGCCTCCCAAAGTGCTGGGATTACAGGCGTGAGCCACTGCGCCCAGCCTTTCCCCTCTGCTTCTATCACCAGTGTCCCATGGTGACCTCCTTACTTCCTATTCCTTGCCCCAAACCACCATCACAACTCTGAGACCCCCATTTCTCTGGTGTTCCTCTCTTTTTTATAATTGCTTCTCAAGGCAAGCTTATCTCCTCAACCAAGTGCAGGACCAAAATAAAAATAAAACAAAAACAAAAAACAAGGAACAGGGGCCGGTTGCAGTGACTCACGCCTATAATCCCAACACTTCGGAAGGCTGAGGTGGGAGGATACCAAGGAAAAGTGGATTGTGTAAAAGGGAGAAGTAGGCTGAGTGCAGTGGCTCACGCCTATAATTCCAGCACTTTGGGAGGGTGAGTCAGGAGGGTCACTTGAGGTCAGGAGTTCAGGACCAGACTAGGCAACATAGCAAGACCCTGTGCCTACAAAAAGTTAAAAAAAAAAAAAAAAAAAGCCAGGCGTGCTGGCTCATGCCTGTAATCCCAGCACTTGGGGAGGCTGAGGCAGATGGATCACGAGGTCAGGAGTTCGAGACCAGCCTGGCCAATAAGGTGAAATCCCATCTCTACTAAAAATACAAAAATTAGCTGGGCGTGGTGGCACACACCTGTAGTCTCAGCTACTCGGGAGGCTGAGGCAGAAGAATTGCTTGAACCCAGGAGGTGGAGGTTGCAGTGAGATCGTGCCATTGCACTCCAGCCTGGGCAACAGAGCAAGACTCTGTCTCAAAAAAATAAAAAATTAGCCAGGCGTGGTGGCACGTGCCTGTAATGCCAGGCTGAGGCAGGGGGATTGCTTGAACCTAGGAGTTCAAGGCTGCAGTAAGCTATGATGGTGCCGCTGCACTCCAGCCTCGGCAAGAGAGTGAGACTCTGTCTCTAAAAAAGGTGAGGGTGTGTTGAGAAATTGCTGAGGGAAGACTTGGCATGCAGAGGAGATGGTGCTGGACGAGCCTCTGCAGGAACACAGGACTCTCCACCCCAGAGAGATACCTGCATACGAATGAATGTGTTCATTTGGCTTCTCGCGTGTAGAGTTGAGGTTAGGAGCATGGACTCTGGATTCATCCTGCCTGGATTTGAATCCCAGCTCCCCCACTTACAAGCTGTGTAACCCTGGCCGAGTTCCTTAACCTCTCTCTGCTTCAGTTTCTCACCTGTAAAATGGGAATAACCATAGAACCTTCCTAATTGGGCTGTAGTTAAGATTAGGTGAGTTAATAAAAGTAAACTTAAGGCATTGCCTGCCATACAGTAATGGCAGTTGACATGACATCAATGACTATGATGATGATGATGATGGTGAAGAAAATGTCCTCCCCATAAACAAAACAAAATTGTACACACACAAATATATATTACCTCTATCTTGTATTCTACTGAAAATTAACATCTCTTTATGCTTACTAGATAGATAGTTATACACTCGTTATCTTCAATACTAATAAAGTTCCTCTCTTGTATGTGTTTTAAGTTTTTTCTTTTTGGTTGGGTTCGGTGGCTCACACCTGTAATCCCAGCACTTTCGGAGGCCAAGGTGGGCAGATCACTTGAGCCCAGGAGTTCAAGACCAGCCTGGGCAACATGACGAAACCCCATCTCTATTTCTGTTTATTTATTTTATTATGATTTTTGTGTGTGTGCTGTTGCCTAGGCTGGAGTGCAGTGGCACGATCTCGGCTCACTGCAACCTCCACCTCCCAGGCTCAAGCAATTCTCCTGCTTCATCCTCCCAAGTATCTGGGATTACAGGTGCACGCCAGAATGCCCAGCTATTTTTTTTGTATTTTTAGTAGAGATGGGGTTTTGCCATGTTGCCCAGGCTGATCTCAAACTCCTGAGTTCAGGCAATCCATCCACCTCGGCCTCCCAAAATGCTAGGATTACTGGTGTGAGCCACCCCGCCCAGCCCCATCTCTATTTTTAAAATTTTTTTTAAAAATTCTTTTTATTTTGCCTTGAGTAGGAAATGATTCAAAATAGGAGTAGAAAGGAAACCTTCAGAAATTTGTGATGGCCCTTGTGACATGTGTTATTTTATTATATATGCTTGGTCATTTAATAGTTTTTGCTTTGGATTTTTTTTTTCTTTTTTTGAGACAGGGTCTCCCTCTGGCACCCAGGCTGGAGTGCAATGGTGTGAACACAGTTCCCTGGAGCCCCTACCTGCTGGGCTCAAGTAATCCTCCCATCTCAGCCTCCCGCATAGCTGGGACTACAGGCATGAGCCACCAAACTCTGCTAATTTTTTTTTTTTTTTGTAGAGATGGGGTTTTGCCATGTTGCCCAGTCTGGTCTTGAACTCCTGGGCTCAAGTGATCCTCTTGCCTCTGCCTCCCAAAATGCTGGGATTACAGGCATGAGCCACCATGCCTGGCCTTGGTTTGGACTTTCTAATTGCAAAATAACACATACATGCACACTTTTTTTTTTAAACGGAGTCTCACTCTGTCGCCTAGGCTGGAGTGCAGTGGCACGATCTCAGCTCACTACAACCGCTCTCCCAGGTTCAAGCGATCCTTCTGCCTCAGCCTCCCGAGTCGCTGGGACTGCAAGCACACGCCACCATGTCTGGATAATTTTTGTATTTTTAGTAGAGACAGGGTTTCACCATGTTGGTCAGTCTGATCTAAAACTCTTGACCTTGTGATCAGCCACCACGCCGGCCCACACATTCATATTGTAGAAAATTCAAGCATACCAGAAGCCGACGGGAAAAATGGGACTGTCCCCTTGCCACCTTTGCCTTTACCCTGTTCCCCTCCAGAGCAAATCACATTCCTCACTTAGTGTGTGCCTTGCAAGCTACTTTCTATGCCCTTACACAAAGATACCTTTTTTGAACAGCCTTGATTTTTTTCAACATATAAAACTATCTGTTTGCTGTTTTTTCAACTTGCTTTTTTCCACTTACATAGATCATATACAGCCTTGCATACATATCAGGATATAGATATATACACACACATATATATTTCACTCCTTTTAAGAATTATTAATGATTTAGCAATTATTGTTTTAACCACCTCTCAATCCATAGACATTTGTTTCCAGTTTTTGCTATTGTAAACAATCCTGCAAGAAACATTAGCTGTATATATGTTTGCATCATTATGCTTTAAATTTTATTTACACTCTGCTTACTACTAAAAAGGACTTAAAATAGCTAAAAATTATTTTTTCAGTTGAATCCAAATCTAAAAGATGCCAGGTGTGATTTAAGATGACAAAAAGGAAGAAGAGAAGAATCAAGCTAATGTCAGAAAATGTATAAGTGAATTAAGCTAAAATGCTAATTTTGAGAGGGTAAAACAGATGGGGCTTTGTAATATGTGATCCAAAGGTTTCTGGAGACACTTATGTTTGAATTAGAAGATACTGCCTGAGATTTCTTGGCAGCAGAAGTGGAAAGCAAAGTGATGTTAAATTGATTTTTTTTTCAAACAATTACTCCCACCAAATCATCCTCCATCATTCTATTTTTAAATACCAACAAGCATGTTGTATACATTTAAAATCAATGAATACTATTTAATAAAATTTTGTATTTATGTACATTTTCCATTTTTGCATTTTCATACTTTTTCTGTCTTCTCATTTCTAATGCCAACACTCTCGTCGATGTTAGAAATTTTATGAGAACTTTGCCCTGTCTTCTACACTAGCTAATTTAGAAAGAGGAATGGCCTCCACCCTGAGGTTCTTCCCAACAGATACATGCCCATGAAAAATCTCTCCAGAGGCCTCGGATCGCATTCCATCAAATGTGTCCCTCGTAGCCACCCATAGCTATATAAAGAGATATTTGGGGCTGGGCGTGGTGGCTCACAACCGTAATCCTGGCACTTTGGGAAGACGAGGTGGGCGGATCACTTGAGGTCAGGAGTTCAAGACCAGCCTGGCCAACATGGTGAAACCGCCTGGCCAACATGGTGAAACCTTGTCTCTACCAAAAAATACAAAAATTAGCTGAATCTGGTGGCGCATGCCTGTAGTCCCGGCTACTCGGGAGGCTGAGGCACGAGAAGCGCTTGAACCCAGGAGGCCAAGGTTGCAGTGAGCTGAGATAGCACCACTGCACTCCAGCCTGGGTGACAGAGTGAGACCGTCTCAAAAAAAAAAAAAAAAAAAAAAAAAAGATATTTGATAGTAATGTTGCCCTAATGGAAACTCTTTCTAAGAGCTAGCAAGGCCAAGTTTGATTAAAGAAAACTCTGAGAATATATACGATGAATACTGGTAACGATGGTGATACTAGTAAGAATATTGGAGGAGGGGTGATAGGAGAAAAACTCAAGAGAAATCCAGCTGGCAGTCAAATGTGAGTTATTTATTTATTTGTTTTTATTTTTTATTTTTTTGAGACAGAGTCCCACTCTGTTGCCCAGGCTGGAGTGCAATGGCATGATCTTGCAACCTCCGCCTCCCAAGTTCAAGCAACTCTCATGCCTCAACCTCCCAAGCAGCTGGGATAACAGGCACGCACCACCACACCCGGCTAACTTTTGTATTTTTATTAAAGATGGGGTTTCACCATGTTGGCCAGGCTGGTCTTGAACTCCTGGACTCAAGTGATCTGCCCACCTCAGCCTCCCAAAGTGCTGGGATTACAGGTGTGAGCCACCGCACCCGGCCAAATGTGATTTAAATATATAGGAGCAAACAGGCTCTTTCTTTATGGGTCATTGCTTTTTTTTTTTCTTTTTTTTCTTTTTTTTTTTTTTTTTTGAGACGAAGTCTTGATCGGTCACCCAGGCTGGACTGCAGTGGTGCAATCTTGGCTCACTGCAAGCTCTGCCTCCCGGGTTCAAGCAATTCTCCTGCCCCAGCCTCCCGAGTAGCTGGAACTACAGGCACATGCCACCACGCTCAGCTAATTTTTTGTATTTTTAGTAGAGAGGGGTTTCACTGTGTTAGCCAGGATGGTCTCGATCTCCTGACCTCATGATCCGCCTGCCTCGGCCTCCCAAAGTGCTGGGATTACAGGCGTGAGCCACCACACCCAGCCAGGGTCAATGCTTTTTCTACAACTAAATGAAATTGTTGAAGTCACTTGATTCTTTTTGCCACCATCCCCATGTTATCTCTCCTGAGTATGGAGGAGAGGCCTAGAGCATCTATCCCTCCTCTGAGAATTTCGCAGCATCTTTCAAATCACACCGGGTAGGCCAGGTACGGTGGCTGATGCCTGTAATTCCAGCACTTTGGGAGGCCAAGGCAGGAGCATACTTGAGCTCAGGAGTTTGAGACCAGCCTGCACAACATAGACAGACCTCATATCTACTAAAAAATAAAAAAACAAAAAAATTAGCCGGTCGTGGTGGTACACACTTGTGGTCCCAGCTACTCAGGAGGCTGAGACGGGAGGATTGCTTGAGCCCAGGAGATTGAGGCTACAGTGAGCCATGATCATGCGACTGCACTCCAGTCTGGATGACAGAGATCTTGTCTCAAAAACAATGGCCGGGAGCAGTGGCTCGCGCCTGTAATCCCAGAAGTTTGGGAGGCCGAGGGGGGCAGATCACTTGAGGTCAGGAGTTCAAGACCGGCCTGGCCAACATGGTGAAAGCCCATCTCTACTAAAAAGACAAAAATTAGCCAAACGTGATGGCGTATGCCTCTAATCCCAGCTACTCGGGAGGCTGAGACAGGAGAATCGCTTGAACCTGGGAGGTGGAGGTTGCAGTGAGCTGAGATCGTGCCACTGCACTCTAGCCTGGGCAACAGAGCGAGACTCCGTCTCAGTAATAATAATAATAATCCCCACACTTTGGGAGGCCGAGGCGGGTGGATCACCTGAGCTCAGGAGTTCGAGACCAGCCAGGCCAACATGATGAAACTCCGTCTCTACAAAAAATACAAAAAAATTAGCTGGACGCGGTAGCGGGAGCCTGTAATCCCAACTACTAGGGAGGCTGATGCAGGAGAATCGCTTGAGCCTGGTAGGCCAAAGTTAAAGCGAGCAACATCATGCCACTGCACTCCAGCCTGGGCGACAAGAGTGAATGAAACTCCATCTCAAAATCAATCAATCAATCAATCACGCCACTTAGGCATCTGGTCACTACTTCCTCTTGTTCTCAAGGTCTTTCCTTCCTAAAGACTATAGCCTCTAGGGTGGCACACCTTAGCCATCTCCATACCTCAGCCATGTGACATGGTCTCAGCTGGAAGCTGTTCAACAGCCTCCTTATCTAAGGCTTGGGCCTTTGCTGGGGCACCCGCGGCAAAATATTATGTGTTGGAACCTCAGTATGCTCAGCTGTAAAATTGATATGACTGTATTATAGCTCTTTTTCCTTGTTCCAGCTTGCCCCCAAATCACTGGAACAATTAGGACACTCACCTAAAGCACTTTGGTGTCCTTGATGGAAGGTCCATGTCAAGAGGTGTGCTGGACGGAAACACATTGGGTCTTACCAGCCTGCAGGAGCAGACTGGCAAAATTTCAGGGATTTTGCAACCAGGGAGATATCACCCTGGTAGCCTGAAATTTGTTTTAGTGGAATATCAGCACCATAGAAATCATTAAAAGCTACAAACAGCACCTTTGAAAAAAATGTATTCCAGGCCAGGCACGGTGGCACCTGTAATTCCAGTACTTTGGGGGGCCAAGCAGGACAGCTCACCTGAGGTCAGGAGTTCGAGACCAGCCTGGCTAACATGGTGAAACCCCATCTCTACTAAAAATACAAAAACTAGCCAGGTGTGGTGGCAGGCACCTGTAATCCCAGCTATTCAGGAGGCTGAGACAGGAAAATCACTTGAACCCAGGAGGCAGAGGTTGCAGTGAGCCAAGATCAGGCCACTGGACTCAGGTCTGGGCAACAATGAGACTCCGCTTCAAAAAAAAAAAAGAAAAAAAAAATGTATTCCAGAGAGCTGTTTACAAAACAATTACCAGCACACCACTAGTTTGTCTAAATTTTTGAGGCTACTTTTTTTTTTTTTTTTTTTTTGAGACAGAATCTCATTCTGTCGCCCAGGCTGGAGTGCAGTGGTGCAATCTCAGCTCACTGCAATCTCCACCTCCCGGGTTCAAGCGATCCTCCTGCCTCAGCCTCCTGAGTATGTGGGATTACAGGCGCCTGCCATCACACTCAGCTAATTTTTGTATTGTCAGGAGAGACAGAGTTTCATCATGTTGGCCAGGCTGGTCTAAGAACTCCAGACCTCGTGCTCCACCCGCCTCGGCCCCCCAAAGTCCTGGGATTACAGGCGTGAGCCACTGTGCCCGGCCGTGTTGGGGCTACTTTCTAACTACTTCTGACTGATCACTTTGGTGACAAAGGAAATGCTGAATAGATAAGGGGAATCCAATTCTTTTGAGAGTGTCTTTTCAAAGATCCTGCCCACTTTCAGTGAAATAAACTAGACGAATTCCAGGAAGTGTGGACACTGAAAAAACTACAGTAAAGTTCTAGAAGATTACCCCAAGTCCTGGCTGACACCAGCACCTGCTCACAGAGTCCTTCCTTAACAGAGCTGACCAGGGTCTGCATCTGGTGCCAGGTCGTGAAACCTCCAGGAGGGACTAAGTGTGCCCCCTGAGCTAATTGTGGAAGGCAGCTGGGGAGAGGGCCAGCTCCAACCAGCTCTACCAGTTTTCCCCAAGGCCATAGGCAGATCTCCTGGGAACGTCTCCTGAGCTCATACCTATCATGGTTTCAGTGTTCCTGCTTCTGCTATGGGAGAGGATCAACAAACCATTGGTGGGGGGTGGGGACTGCAGTGAGGACAGAGCTTTAATGCCAACTGGACGAGCATGAGCTGTAACTATTTGGCTGTCCTTCTGAATTTCTATTGCTCTGCAAATATTCTCTGAAGAGCAGCAATGAGCAAGGTGAAGCAGGCAGATGTGGGTGAGACTGGGCTGGTATCACCCCACCCATCCGCCCAGCTAAGCAATCTTGGGCAGGCCACTTGTCTATGCCTCAACTTCCTTGTCTGCTAATTGGGGACAATACCCTTATAGGCTTGCGTGGAGATTTAATAAGTCTCACAAAAGTCTCAGAACGAGGCTGGCTTCAGGGGTATGCTGTTAGTGCCGTGACACAGCGTCCCCATGCTCAAAAGGGTCCCACACTTGGGACTGAATGTTCTGCAGTCATCATCTTGAAATTCTTTATTTTTTATTTTTTTGATATGGAGTTTTGTTCTTGTCACCCAGACTGGAGTGCAATGGCACGATCTCGGCTCACTGTAACCTCCGCCTCCCAGGTTCAAGTGATTCTCCTGCCTCAGCCTCCTGAGTAGCTGGGATTACAGGTGCGTGCCACCACACCCAGCTAAGTTTTGTATTTTTAGTAGAGATGTGGTTTCACCATGTTGGCCAGGCTGGTCTCGAACTCTTGACCTCATGAGATCTGCCTCAGCCTCCCGAAGTGCTGGGATTACAAGCATGAGCCACTGCACCCAGCCTGAAATTCTTAATGATTTTGTCTTTGAATTTCTGTTCCCACAGGGCAATGGAGTGCGCATGCATCATGGACTTGTAGTGCAGTGTGTGGTCCCACCTCCCTGCCTCCCCCTGGCAGGTTCCTGACTGCCCATTCCCCTGTCCCCTGCACCCTGGGTTCCATGGCCCCCTCCCCACTCCCACCTGGCCACCTGGCCACCCTTCACTCTGGGCAGGGCCTGAGTGTGGGTGCAGGAGGATCAGGGTAAGGCACGTGTTCCCTGGTGTCTTGAGCACACAGCATGCTCCCGAGCACCCCCGGTGGGGGCAAGCCTCTTGCCTGCTGCCTACCCAGGTACCTAGTGTGTGCTGGTGCAAACTTTGCAATGCCTTGGAGGGTGACCTCTCTGCCACAGATTGGGTGGTAGGCTCCTGGCCCCTAGCCAGGGCATGGTGCATTGGTCTAGTGGCTAGTCAGAGTGGGGCTCAGTGGCAGATGGATGCGCCTGTGAACACAGAATGGTAGGGCAGGGACCCCAGCCCTTGGGAGCGTCCCCACTCCTCCAGGAGCATCCTTGATGCTGCAGGGAGTATAATATTCAACAGAAGATTTACAAACAGGACAGTTACACAGATAGATCATGAAAAAAAGAATACTTTGTATTTGGTACCCTTTTTTTTTTTTAAGACAGGGTCTTGCTCAGTTGCCCAGGCTGGCATGCTGTGGTGCAGTAATAGCTCACTGCAGCCTTGAACTCCCGGGCTCAGGCCTCCCACCTTGGCCTCCTGAGTAGCTGGGACTAGGTGCACAACACCACGCCTAGCTGATTTTTTTTTTTTCTGAAGTAGAGATGAGGTCTCACTACGTTGCCCAGGCTGGTCTCAAATTCCTGAGCTCACACGATCCTCCCAGCTCAGCCTCCCAGAGTGCTGAGATTATGGGCGCAAGCCACTGTGCCCGGCCTGTACTTGGTACCTTTAACAGCACTTTTCTCTGCTGTTCGAACAAGGAGCCCTGTGTTTTCATTTTGCCCTGAGCCCTGCAAATTATGCAGCTAGTCCTGCTGAGAACATTACCTGGCACACAATAGGTGCTCAATCAAAGTTAGTAAGTAGAATTATTATGACAATATATACATTCCCTGTGGAGTCATGTACCTGAGAGGACCATTCCACATCTTCACATGTAAGGATAAGGGTCATGTCTGTTCAGTATCGCGTGGGTCTTGATACAGCATCTTGTGTTAATATGAACATCCAGCCGAGCGTGGTGGCTCATGCCTGTAATGCCAGCACTTTGGGAGGCCGAGGTGGGCAGATCCCTTGAGGCCAGGAGTTACAGACCAGCCTGGGCAGCATAGTGAAACCCCGTCTCTACTAAAATACAAAAATCAGTCGGGCCTGTAGTCCCAGCTATTTGCGAGGCTGAGGCTCGAGAATTGCTTGAACCCGGGAGGTGGAGGTTGCAGGGAGCCAAGATCACACCACTGCACTCCAACCTGGGCCACAGAGCGAGACTTTGTCTCAATAATAATAATAATAATAACATAAACATCCACAGCAACAGAAGATGACATTGATTGCTGCGGTGACCTTTAGCATTCAATTTTTTTTTTTTTTTTTTGAGACAAAGTTTCACTCTTGTTGCCCAGCCTGGAGTGCTATGGCACAATCTGAGCTCATTGCAACCTCCGCCTCCCAGGTTCAAGCGATTCTCCTGCCTCAGCCTCCCAAGTAGCTGGGATTACAGTTATGCGCTGCCACACCCAGCTAATTTTTGTATTTTTTTTAGAGATGGGGTTTCACCAGATTGGGCAGGCGGGTTTGAACTCCTGACCTTGTGATCCGCCCACCTTGGCCTCCCAAAGTGCTGGGATTACAGGCATGAGCCACCACCTTCTTTCAAAGAGCCAAGCACTAAATCTTTATTGAATATCTACCTGGGGAGTAGACAATCTACCTGAATCTAGGGAAGCCTACTATAACAATTCTTTAAAAGGGGATTCAGCTCCAAGTGATGTACTGTGAACTGTACGTGGCATGGGGACCCAGAGAAGGGAGGGATCAATATGGCCTTAGAGCAGTGACAAGCTAATCTGAGTCACATCAAAAGCATCTTAGACTCAATGACACAGAGTGCTGGGCCCCCCAGGGTTGCCAGCTCAGTAGGTCTGGGGTTGCAGGAGTGAATTTCCAGTCCCAGGTGACACTGCTGCTGCCGTACTGTGCTTTGAGAACTACTGTTGTAGACTAGACCAATCCAGGAAGCCTTCATGGAGGAGAAGATCAAGACTTAGTAATTAGCGCAGTTAGTTGATTGGTGGGAAAGAAAGCAATTGCAAACAGAGGGAATGACATGAACATAGGCACAAAATCCAAAATGAGAGTGTTTTGTGTGTGTGCGGGGAAAGGTTTTAAGGAGACAAGGGTGACATGCCTCCTGGTAAGATATTCTGTTCTGATGAGCTATGACTGTGCACTTCTCTCCAAAAAATAAAATAAAATAAAATAAAAATTTTCAAAAATTGGCAAAGATAAATCATGCTATTAGAATAAAATTTTTTTTACTTCTGTTGTAAAACCAGAGTTGTAAGCCATGAAAGTAGATATTATTTTTCTCTAACCCTGTCACCAAAACTCTGTGTGTGTGTGTGTGTGTGTGTGTGTGTGTGTGTGTGTATTGTCAACCCAAAATATCTGAGACAGGTCTCAGTCATTTCAGAAAGTTGATTTTGCCAAGGCTAATGACCACTCGTGAGACAGCCTCAGGAGGTCCTGCGGACATATGCCAGAATGGTCAGGATACAGCTTGCTTTTATACATTTTAGAGTGACATGAGACATCAATCAATATGTGTAAGATGTATATTGGTTTGGCCGGGCCCGGTGGCTCATGCCTGTAATCTCAGCACTTTGGGAGGCCGAGGTGGGTGGATCACCTGAGGTCGGGAGGCCGAGGCAGGTGGATCACCTGAGGTCGGGAGTTTGAGCCTGACCAACGTGGAGAAACCCCGTGTATACTAAAAATACAAAATTAAACAGGCATGGTGGCGGGCGCCTGTAGTCCCAGCTACTCAGGAGGCTGAGGCAGGAGAATCGCTTGAACCCGGGAGGCGGAGGTTGCAGTTGGCTGAGATCGTGCCATTGCAATCCAGCGTGGGCAACAAGAGCGAAACTCCATCTCAAAAAAATAAAAAATGAAAAAAAGATGTACATTGGTTTGGTCCCAAAAGGCAGGACAACTCAAAATTGGGGCTTCCAGGTCCAGGTAGATAAGAGACAAAAGACTGCATTCTAGTCCGGGCACATTGGCTCACACCTGTAATCCCAGCACTTTGGGAGGCCAAGGCAGGGGGAATCACTTGAGACCAGGAGATCAAGACTAACCTGGCTAACACAGGGAAACCCCTTCTCTACCAAAAAAATACAAAAATTAGCTGGATATGGTGGTGCACCTTTAGTCCCAGCTTCTCAGGAGGCTGAGGCAGGAGAATTACTTGAACCTGGGAGGCAGAGGCTGCAGTGAGCCGAGATCTCCTCACTGCACTCCAGCCTGGGCAACTGAGCCAGACTCTGTCTCAAAAAAAAAAAAAAAAAAAGGTTGCATTCTTTGGAGTCCTTGATCAGCCTTTCACTGAATACATAACTGAGCATGACTCAGTGAATCTGCATTTTTACATAACCAGTAGAGGAAGCAATCAGATATGCCTTTGTCTCAGGTGAGCAGAGGGACGGTCCCTCATCTGTAAAGATAAGCTATCAATTTACATTGCCAGGGTGAAATTCAACAGAACTGTTTTAGGGTAAAGATCTTGAGGCCCACAAGGAATTTCTCTGGGGGCAAATTGTGAGGAAGGTATGTAGCTTTTATTTATTTATTTTTATTTATTTATTTTTAAGACAGAGTCTGCTCTGTTGCCCAGGCTGGAGTGCCGTGGTGCAATCTTGGCTCACTGCAATCTCCGCCTCCCGAGTTCAAGCCTCCTAAGTAGCTGGGATTACAGGTGTGCGCCACCACGCTTAGCTAATTTTTGTATTTTTTTAGTAGAGACAGGGTTCCACCATGTTGGTCAGGCTGGTCTCAAATTCCTGACCTTGTGATCTGCCTGCCTCGGCCTCCCAAAGTGCTGGGATTACAGGCGTGAGCCACCACACCCAGCCATGTAGCTTTTTTCTAATTTACTTTTTTTCTTTTTTCTTTTTTTTTTAAAATACCACAATCAGGCCAGGTGTGGTGGCTCATGCCTGTAATCCCAGCACTTTGGGAGGCCAAGGCAGGTGAATCACGAGGTCAGGAGATCGAGACCATCCTGGCTAACACGGTGAAACCCCGTCTCTACTAAAAATACAAAAAAAAGAGCCAGGCGTGGTGGCGGGCGCCTATAGTCCCAGCTACTCGGGAGGCTGAGGCAGGAGAATGGCGTGAACCCGGGAGGCGGAACTTGCAGTGAGCCGAGATTGCGCCGCTGCACTCCAGCCTGGGCGACACAGCAAGACTCCATCTCAAAAAGATAAATAAATAAATAAGAAATAAAAATACCACAATCATGATTACATGAGGTATATAGCTTTTTTATCTTTGTAACTATCTTATTTAGGAATAAAATGGGAAGCAGGTTTGCCTGACACTTCCCAGCCTGACTTTTTCCTTGGCTTAGTAATTTTGGGGTCCCAAGATTTATTTTCCTTTCACACTATATAGAAAATACCATGTTACAAAGGATGAGAACACTCCTGAAATTAAAGTATTGGTCCCTTGGAGAGCTTTCTTTTACACTTTCTGTTTGTTTTTTCAAAATTCAGTTTATGACACTATTCCACTGTAAATAGTCCCTTTAAAAGTCCTAGGTCTTTAAATATTTATCTGAGAGCTTCAGTTAAAGCTCTCAGTGGCTACTGATATTTTGACTTTGTATTCTCTGCAAATCTTTAATAGTATACAGCTGCCATTTTTGTAAACATTAGTGGTAAGAAGAATAATTTACTGAAAATAACAAAGTTTTACAGAAAACAGACCTGGTTCATATTCAAATTTTGCCATGTCTTAGGAACTTGTCTAATGCCTTTAGGAAATAAATAATGACAGCCTGGCACAGTGGCTCACACCTGTAATCCCAGCACTTCGGGAGGCCGAGGTGGGCAGATCACAAGGTCAGGAGTTCGAGACCAGCCTGGCCAACATGGTGAAACCCTATCTCTACTACAAAAAGATACAAAAGTTAGCCGGGCGTAGTGGTGGGTGCCTGTAATCCAAGCTACTTGGGAGGCTGAGGTAGGAGAATTGCTTGAACCCGGGAGGCAGAGGTTGCAGTGAGGCGAGATTGCGCCACCGCACTCCAGCCTGGCAACAGAACGAGACTCTGAAACAAAAAAAAAAAAAAAAGAAAAAAAGAAAAAAGAAAATATATAATGACAACCTATTTGTATTAATGAAGATAAGGTTCAGCAGCAAGTAATGAAAATGCCAACAATCAGTGGCTTGAGCAGATAGAAGTCCATCTCTCCCTTAGATAAAATCAAGGCTGGTTCTGCCATCCCTGGGTGAGGGACCCTGACTCCTCTGTCAGGCTCTTGGCTGCACGTCACTCCATGGCCTCAGGTGGTCCATGCCAGCTGTCTCAGCCCTGGCCTGCTCCTCTGCGTGCTGGCCAGGAGAAAGAGGAGAAAGGGAAGGATGATTTCCAGAAGGTGCCCACTCCAGCTGTAAGAGGGGCTGAGCATTGTAGTGTTCACAGCCAGGTGCCCAGCAAAAAAATCAGGATTCTTGTTACTAGAAAAGGAAAAATGCCTGGGCACAGTGGTTGACACCTATAATCCTGACATTTTGGGAGGCCAAGGCAAGAGGATTGCTTGAGCCCAGGAGTTCAAGACCAACCTGGGCAACATAACAAGACTTCATCTCTACTAAAAATAAAATAAAATAAAAAAGCCGGGCACGATGGCTCACAACTGTAATCCCAGCAGTTTGGGAGGCTGAGGCAGGTGGATCACCTGAGGTCAGGAGCTCAAGACCAGCCTGGCCAACATGGTGAAAACCCATCTCTAACAAAAATACAAAAATTAGCCGGGTGTGGTGGGGGGCGCCAGTAACCCGAGTTACTCAGGAGGCTGAGGCAGGAGAATCACTTGAGCCCGGGAGGCAGAGGTTGCAGTGAGCCAAGATCATGCCATTGCACTCCAGCCTGGGCAACAAGAGTGAAACTCCTTCTTAAAAACAAAACAAAACAAAACAAAACATATATATATAAAATCAGGGTGCAGTGGCATGTGCGCACAGTCCCAACTATACAGGAGGACTGCTTGAGCTATGATTGAGCCACTGCACTCCAGCCTGGGTAACGGGGTGAAACTTTATCTCAAAAAAGAAAAGGAGCACAGATATTGAGGATATGTCATTTAGATTATATCTATGAAATCCCTACTAAAGTTCTATACAAAGGCAGTCACAAAACACTAATTATGACTGTCACCACTATCATATATTTGTGTTGCCCGTAAATGGATCATTGTCTACAATAAGCCAGGCGTGGTGGTGGGTGCCTGTAATCCCAGTTACTTAGAAGGCTGAGGTAGGAGAATCGCTTGAACCTGGGAGGTGGAGGTTGCAGTGAGCCAAGATAGGCCCACTGCACTCCAGCCTGGGTGACAAAGTGAGACTCCATCTCAAGAAATAATTTTTAAAAAGGATCATGTTCTTAATTTATTATTTCTTTTTTTTTTTTTTTTTTTGAGACGGAGTCTTGCCTTATCACCCAGGCTGGAGTGCAGTGGCGCCATCTCAGCTCTCTGCAAGCTCCGCCTCCCGGGTTCACACCATTCTCCTGCCTCAGTCTCCCGAGTAGCTGGGACTACAGGCGCCCGCCACCACGCCTGGCTAATTTTTTGTATTTTTAGTAGAGACGGGGTTTCACCGTGTTAGCCAGTATGGTCTCGATCTCCTGACCTCATGATCTGCCTGCCTTGGCCTCCCAAAGTGCTGGGATTACAGGCGTGAGCCACCGCGTCTGGCGTATTATTTCTTTAAGTAGGAAATTTCTACTAAATGAGTAACAGAAAATGTATCATTATTTTCCTCCTCTGCAGTAAAAACTAAGACGGTAAAATAAATGTGTATTCTGCATAATTTACCAGATATATACAAAGCACTATTCCATCAGGAAGGATGTCTTCTGCTCTTAGGAATGGAAAACTCAGTTAAACACAAAACACAGTAGGCCAGGCGCAGTGGCTCATGCCTGTAATCCCAGCACTTTGGGAGGCCGAGGTGGGCGGATCACCTGAGGTCGGGACTTCAAGACCAGCCTGACCAACATGGTGAAACCTCGTCTCTACTAAAAATACAAAAATTAGATGGGCATGGTGGCACGTGCCTGTAATTCCAGCTTCTCAGGAGGCTGAGGCAGGAGAATCGCTTGAACCCAGGAGGCAGAGGTTGCAGTGAGCCGAGATTATGCCACTGCATTCCAGCCTGGGCAACAAAGTGAGACTCTGCCTCAAAAAACACCAAAAACCAAAACACAAAAACACAAAACACAGCTAAGCACAATTCATCTCATATAACAAAATTTTGGCAAGAAGTGAGCTGTCATTCTTATTTTTATCCCTCTGGACAAATTATATCAAGTATCTGTTACAGCTGTTTAGATTTTCTCTTTAACACTAGTTTTATGTATTTTTATTATACTTGTGACTTAATGTAGGTTTTTTGTTTCTATCTTTTGCTTGGGGTTCACGGAACTTCTTGGATCTGTGGGTTTATAGCTTTCATCAAATTCAGAAAATTTTTGACAATTATTCCTTTTCTTTCTTTCTTTCTTTTAAGATAGAGTCTCACTCTGTAGCCTAGGCTGGAGTGCAGTGGTGAGATCTCAGCTCACTGTAACCTCTGACTACAGGCTCAAGCAATCCTTCCACCTTAGCCTCCCAAGTAGCTGGAACTACAGGCATGCGTCACCACTCTTGGCTAATTTTTTTGTATTTTTTGTAGAAGCAGGGTTTTGTCATGTTACCCAGGCTGGCCTCAAAACTCCTGGGCTCAAGTGATCCACCCGCCTTAGCCTCTCAAAGTACTGGGATCACAGGCATGAGCTACCATGCCAGCCCACCATTATTTCTTAAAAAGAAATGTCCCTTCTCTTTCCCCTCTTCTTCCAGTACTCCAGCTTCATGTATATTAGGTATGCAAAGTTGTTTCACTTAGTGATGTTATGTTCATTTTTTTAAAGGCTTTTTCTCTTTGTTTCATTTTAAAGTTTCTATTGATGTGTCTTTAAGTTCACTAACTTTTTTTTTTTTTGAGACAAAGTTTCACTCTGTTACCCAAGCTGGAGTGCAGTGGCGCAATCTTGGCTCACTGCAACCTCCGCCTCCCGGGTTCAAGTGATTCTCCTACCTCAGCCTCCAGAGTAGCTGGGACTACAGGTGCCCGCCACCACGCCCAGCTAATTTTTGTATTTTTAGTAGAGACGGGGTTTTACCAGATTGGCCAGGCTGGTCTCGAACTCCTGACCTTGTGATTCACCCACCTCAGCCTCCCAAAGTGCTGGGATTACAGGTGTGAGCCACCAGGCCCTGCTGCCACTTTCTTTCAAAGAGCCAAGCAGTAAATCTTTATTGAATATCTACCTGGGGAGTAGATGATCTACCTGGATCTAGAGAAGTTTGCTGTATTAATTCTTTTTTTTTTTTTTCAGACTGAGTTTCCAAATTCTTATATTTTTAAAAAATTCTTGAGCTCTGTTCTAGGACACTGCTGAGTTACTTGGGAACAGTTTGATCCTTTGGAGATTTACCAGATAGGACCTGAGTCACCTTCGATGTCCTAGGCTAGTTTTTCTCTATTCCTGAGGCAATTCCTTTCTGGGATGATTTTTTCTCACCAGCTTTTGAAAATATCAACTACTCCCAGCCCTTTGGGAGCTTGGATTCTTGTGCCTGCTTCTTTCAGGTAGTTCTTTCCCTGGCCTTAGGTGCTTGTCTCCCCTGTAAGCCCTGGGCAGCTTAGGGGCACCCTCTGCAGCTCTCTGGAGGCCTTGACTTGTGCAGCTGTCTCCTCTCCAGTTCTCTGCCTTATAAACTCTGCCTGCCTTGGTTTCTCTGAACTTTCAATTCCATCTCCTCAATTAGAGAGACCTCCATACCATCCAGCTCCCAGCTCTGGCTGTGCTCAGTGAAGTAGCCCACTATTACTATTACTGTTGCAAATAGTGAGAGATACAGGCGCATGCCACTATGCCCAGCTAATTTTTAGTAGAGATGGGGTTTCACCATGTTGGCCATGCTGGTCTGAAACTCCTGACCTCAGGTGATCTGCCTGCCTCGGCCTCCCAAAGTGCTGGGATTACAGGTGTGAGCCACCCCACCCAGCCAATTTTATTGAATTTTTAATAGAAATGATTATATCATCTGAAATACTGATCATTTTGCTATTTCCCTTCCTGCTCTTACCTCTTGCATGTACCTCCTCTCTTGGCATAGAGCTGGAAGCCTCCTATTGTATGCCAAATGTTGGGGGGAATTGGCAGCAGGACATATGGCAGGGAGGACAAAGGTAAGTGGCCTCAAGGACAATGGAGGTAACATTGTCATGTTCCCTATCTTAAAGAAATGCATCGGCTGGGCGCAGTGACTCCTGCCTGTAATTCCAGCACTTTGGGAGGCTGAGGCAGGAGGACTGCTTGAGTCCGGGAGCTTGAGACCAGCCTGAACAACATAGCAAAACCCTGTCTCTAAAAAATTTAAAAATTAGCAGGACATGGTGGTACATGCTGTGGTCCCAGCTACTCAGGAGGCTGAGGCAGGAGGACCACTCAAGCCCAGAAGGTTGAGGCTGCAGTGAATCATGATCACACAACTGCACTCCAGCCTGGGTGACAAACTGAGACCCTATAAAAGAAAGAGAAAGAGAAGAAAAGAAAAGAATAAATAAAAGAAAAGAAAATAAATAAAAGAAAAGAAGGGAAGGGAAGGAAAGGGAGGGGAGGGGAGAGGAGGGGAGGGGAGGGGAGGGAAGGGAAGGGAAAAGGGAAGGGAAGGAAAGGGAAGGGAAGGGAAGGGAAGGGAAGGGAAGGGAAGGGAAGGGAAGGGAAGGGAAGGGAAATTCTAAAATTTCTGCATCACCTCTGAAATCTGCTGTAGACTTCTGGCATCAGGCTAAGAAGGTGTCTAAGTAAGAGAAAGAAATCTCAAACTTCTTTTCCTGGGCTACTGCTATAATATAAAAATAAGAATTCAACAGAGATAATAACACCTTAATTTTTTTTTTTTTTTTTTTGTGATAGAGTCTCACACTGTTGCCCAGGCTGGAGTGCAGTGGCACGATCTTGGCTCACTGCAACCTCTGCCTCCCAGGTTCAAGCGATTCTCCTGCCTTAGCCTCCCGAGTAGCTGGGATTACAGGCATCTTCCACCATCCCCAGCTAATTTTTGTATTTGTTACCCTACTTCAAGAAGACAGAGGCTTGTGCTTCTCTTAGAGATGGGATTTCACCATGTCGGCCAGGCTGGTCTTGAACTCCTGATGTCAAGTGATCCACCTGCCTCAGCCTCCCAAAGTGGTAGCATTACAGGCGTGAGCCACCATGCCCAGCCACCTTAAACTTTTTAAAAGGATTACTATTTGGAGCTTTGTTTACTTTTCTCAAGTATATATTCTTTACTATATATCTGTTCAGTTTTCAGTAAATTGATGAGTTTGCTTTTTTAGACTACTGCAAATGTATTGATACATTTCTAGATATCAAACCAGATATGATGGCCCATGCCTGGAGTCTCAGCTACTCAGGAGGCTTAGGCAGGAGGATTGCTTGAGCCTAGGAGTTCAAGACTGTACTGTGCTATGATCGCACCTGTGAATAGCCACTGCACTCCAGCCTAGGCAATGTAGGGAGACCCTATCTCAAAAAAAGAAAAAAAAATTTCCTAATGGGAAAAGGACAATATAAAAAATTGTGAAGGAGATTTCAGTTAATATTTTAAAATATTGTCCTCGAACCCCTCTGAGCCTGTCCTGGTTCTGAGAGCTGCCCGATAAATTTTATATCCTGTAATTCATAGCTGCAGAATCCAGAAAATGTTACCCTACTTCAAGAAGATACAGGCTTGTGCTTCACTTAGGATCTGCACCTGCTTTAAAATCTGATTCTGGATTATAAAAGCATCAGCTAGAAGTAATTTTTGTCTCAAAAAGCTCTCTACTATAACAACATAGGATAATAGCTAACACTTTGAAGTTAAGATTATTTTTTTCCAGATATTAAACAATGGGGAAAATTTTTTTTAATTAAAAAGCCTCAATTACAAAAGCAATACCTGCTTCCTGCATGAAAATTAAAGCAATTTTCAAGCTATAAAGTAAAAAATGGAATGTCTCTAACCTGCTTTTTCCTCCCCTATTCCTGTTACAGAGCTGTAGTTTATAACCTAGAACTTTGGAAAACCTTTTTGACAATATAACCTGTTAATTTTCTGAAAGCTGAACAGACATTATAGTAAAGAATATATACTTGAGAAAAGTAAGAAAAGCTCCAACTAGTAATCTTTTTAAAAAGTTTAAGGCATTATTATCTCTGTTGAATTCTTGTTTTTATATTATAGTGGTAGCCCAGAGAAAGAAGTTTGAGATTTCTTCGTCTTGAAATCTTTTTTTTTTTTTTTTTTTTTGAGACAGAATTTCGCTCTTGTCGCCCAGGCCAGAGTGCAATGGTGCGATCTCGGCTCACTGCAGCCTCAGCCTCCCAGGCTCAAGCAATTCTCCTGCCTCAGCCTCCCGAAGTAGCTGAGATTACAGGCGCCTACCACCATGCCCAGCTAATTTTTTTATTTTTATTTTTAGTAGAGACAGGGTTTCACCATGTTGGCCAGGCTGGTCTTAAACTCCTGACCTCAGGTGATCCACCTGCCTCAGCCTCCCAAAGTGCTGGGATTACAGGTGTGAGCCACCACGCCCAGCGAAAAAATTCTTAATTATCTGTTTTAGCCCCAGGGACACCTTGGAAGAAAGCAATTTTAGTGTGAGAGAAACAGAACGGTACCTTGCAGTGGGATGAGAAGGGATGAATTTCCCAGCATGGGTAGTGTGGCCAGGAGGAGCAGAGTGGAGGGTGAGTGTGGGAAATTCCACAGAGCTCTAAGTCTCCCATAGGAGTCACTCCAGCATAGGTTTGTTATTTTTTTGAAGTATTATGATGCCCCTAAACTTCAGATAGACCCCAATTCTCTGGTAATTACAAAGAACCTCTTATAAACTAATTAGAAATAATTGTAGGAGTAGCTGATACTTTGGGTTTACCCCTGCTGCTGCAAACACTGCAATAAGATAGAGGCCAAGTTTCTTTTTTTTGTTTTTTTGAGACAGAGTCTCACTCTGTCCCCCAGGCTGGAGTGCAGTGGGGCAATCTCGGCTCACTGCAACTGCCACCTCCTAGGTTTAAGCGATTCTCCCGCCCCCGCCCGCCCCCTGAGTAACTGGGACTACAGGCATCTGCCTCCATGCCCCGCTAATTTTTGTAGTTTTAGTAGAGACAGAGTTTCACCATGTTGGCCATGCTAGTCTTGAACTCCTGACCTCAGGTGAGACAAATTGGCTGGCACAGTGGGTCATGCCTCTAATCCCAGCACTTTGGGAGGCTGAGGCAGGTGGATCGCCTGAGGTTAGGAATTTGAGACCAGCCTGGTCAGCATGGTGAAACCCCGTCTCTACTAAAAATACAAAAATTAGGTGGGCATGGTGGTCGGTGCCTGTAGTCCCAGCTACTTGGGAGTCTGAGAGGGGGAAATTGCTTGAACCCAAGAGACTGAGGTTTCAGTGAGCCAAGATTGCGCCATGCACTCCAGCCTGGGCGACAGAGTGAAACTCAAAAACAAAAAAAGATAGAAGCCAAGATTTGTCATCAGATATTCTGAATAGTACCAACCCCATTATAAACACTCAAATCAATGTTAGATGGTGCAACAGCAACAAATGACAACCCAGGGACCTTTGCTCCATCGCCTTTAATTAATGATGAAATGATAGCAGCTTTAAGCAGAGAGGCAAGGCAAAAGGTTTAGAAGAGATGGTTCTATTTTGCTATTGGTCTCCATTCCCCACTTCCCTTCTTGTTGCATTCAGAGAGAGGATAGAAAAAAACACTCGGAAGGAAAGACAAAAAGAGAGGAGCATTTTTAAAAGACATAAATTGTAATGGAAGAGCTACAAGATTAATCATTGTTTCTGCTTTTTTGAGACAGGGTCTCGCTCTGTCACCCAGGCTGGAGTACAGTGGTGTGATCTTGGCTTATTGCAACTTCTGCCTCCTGGGCCTCAGGCAATCCTCCCACCTCAGACTCCCAGGTAACTGGGAATACAGGTGCATGCCACCACGCCCAGCTAACTTTTGTATTTTTTTGTAGAGATAGGGTTTTGCCACATTCCCCAGACTGGTCGTGAACTCCTGGGCTCAAGTGATCTACCCACTTTGGCCTCCCAAAGTACTGGGATTACAGGCATGAGCCACCGTGCCCAGCCCTACAAGATTAATCTTATTTCTGATTTATTTATTTACTAACCGTGTTAGTAACCTGTGAACCTCAGTTTCTTCAGTTTTTTTTTTTTTTTTTTGGAGAGACAGGGTCTCACTATGTTGCCCAGGCAAATCTAGAACCCCTGGCCTCAAGTCATCCTCCTTCCTCAGCCTCTCAAAGTGTTGGGATTATAGGAGTGAGCCACTGTGCCTGGCCTCTGCAACTTTAAAATTGGGCCCAGGAGTTCCACACCAGCTATGATCACACCACTGCACTCTGGCCTGGGTAACTCAGCGAGACCCTGTCTCAAAAAAAAAGAAAAGAAAAGAAAAAAGAAGGATTTCTGACTAGATATCAGAGTTGTGAGATCAAGAGATAATGTTGGAATAAGAAAAATGGGCATGGTGGCTCACGCCTGTAATCCCACCACTTTGGGAGGCCAAAGCAGGTGCCTGAGGTCAGGAGTTCGAGACCAGCCTGGCTAACATGGTGAAACCTGGTCTCTACTAAAAATATAAGAAAAATAGCTGGGTGTGGTGGTGCACACCTGTAGTCCCAGCTACTCGGGAGGCTGAGGCAAGAGGATCGCTTCAACGCAGGAGGCAAAGGTTGCAGTGAGCCGAGATCACACCATTGCACTCCAGCCTGGGCAACAGAGCAAGTAGCGATGGGTTTTTGCCATGTTGGCCAGGGTGGTCTCGATTTCTTGACTGCGTGATCTGCCCGCCTCAGCCTCCCAAAGTGCTGGGATTACAGGCATGAGCCACCGCACCTGGTTGGTTTCAGGACACTTTCACGCTCCTAAAAATTACAAAGAACCCACCAGGAGGTTCGTTTATGTGGATCATATTTTTTGATATTTACCATATTAGAAACTAAAATTGAGAAAATTTAAAAACACTTCATTACTTCATTTTAAAAGAACAATAAACCCATCATGTTAATGTAAAGAACACATTTTTATTAAAAATAATTATATTCTCCAAAACAAAAGACACCATAAAGAGTGGCATTGTTTTACAGTTTTATGAATCTCTTTGCTATCTGGCTTAATAGAGGACAGCTGGTTCTCATATCTACATTCAATCTATTGCAGTCTGATGTTTTGGTTGAATTACATGAAGAGTATCTGGCCTCACATGGATATGAAGTTGGAAAACGAAGGGCCTCACAGACCCATCGAAAGGGCCTCCAGAATCCCAGGGGTCCTCAGGCCACACGCTGAGAACCGCTGCATTGGAGCGTGGCACGTTAGAATAAAGATGGGACTGGCGTGGGAATAAAAAAGCCTATTCTGAGGTCTTTGTATTAACGTGAAATATCTGTTTACAATTCTGTCATTTTCAGGATCCTACAGTTGGGGGCTGGGAAATTCCATACTTGTCAATTCTCCGCCATTTCCAGCACAGCATAGAAGTATGACTCATGTCTCTTAAATAGTAAAATGAAACAAGGGGCTACACTTATAATTTAAAATACAGTTGTTGATTTATTTATTTATTTTCATTTATTTTTTTTTTTTAGACAGAGTCTCGCTTCTTCACCCAGGCTAGAGTGCAATGGCGCAATCTCTGCTCACTGCAACCTCCGCCTCCCGGGTTCAAGCAATTCTCCTGCCTCAGCCTCCCAAGTAGGTGGGATTACAGGCATGTGCCAGC